>NC_000015.10:91289762-91441278 GCF_000001405.40 Homo sapiens
GTGCATGGCCATCGTGGTCTTTCTGCTGTTCCGTGAAACAAACATCTTTTATGTTGAGCTTCTCCTGCATGGTGGATGGCATAGACCTGAAAGTTGGCAGGCTAGGGCTTGGATAGGGTGGGAAAGATGGCAAGAAGCAAAGGATGGGAGCAAACTATGTCCAGGAGAAGGAAATAAGAGTGAAAAGTTGGTAAAACCATATGTGTCATGTAATCCACAAGAGAGAACAGACCTTCAAGGGGAGATAAGGCAAAAAAGTGAAGAGCTGGAATAGCACAGGGTGGGGGCAAGGAGAGAAATAAAGGTCGGGAGGCAGCATGAAGTCCAGGGAATCTGCAGAGAATGTGGCAGGGAGGCCCAGGGGTTACTTTTATTTTGCACAGGTCGTATATGGGAAGAGGCCTTGTTTAAAGGCATAGGATCAAGGCCATTACTTAGTAATTGTTTTTCTTCGTGGAGGGGAATTGTAAAGTTTAAAGGAGAAGATAAGAGGCCCTGTGGTCAAAAAGGAATGTGAAGAGGTAAGGAAGGTGGGTAAATGAAATTCTGCAAAAACCTTAATGATATTTCCAAAATTGGCGACAGAGGTATTGGGATATAGATAACTAAGGAAGAGCACAACGTGTCATATTTGGAGCCCCTCTCATTTGAATCAAAGAACTGCTAAGTTTTACACAAAATAACAGGAGGACAAATGATTATTATTTGAATATGATGTGATTTTACATCTAGGAATCCTAAGAGAATTAACTTATGAGACCACTATAGACAAAAAGACAATGTGGTCAGGTGGTCAGTAATAAAACGAAATTATGTATAGGTTTTAAAATATATCGAAAAAGTTAAAGATGCAATTGATATCCATTTAATAATGGCAGACGTCATAAAATAATTAGGGATCAACTTGACAAGTGAAACACTCAAATGAAGAAAACCATAAAGCTTTACTAAGAGATATAAAAAAAGACACATAAGAGAAGATAAATATATGCCAACTCAGTGATTTGGGAGGCCGAGGCAAAAGGATTGCTTGAAGGCTGGAGTTCAAGATCAGCCTGGGCAATACAGTGAGACCCCTATCTCTACAGAATATATTAGACAATTAGCCAGGCATAGTGGCATGTGCCTGTAGTCCTAGCTGCTCAGGAGGCTGAGGGGGAGAGCTGCGAGAGCCCCGGGGTTTCAGGGTTACAGTGAGCTAGGATCACAACACTGCACACCAACCTGGGTGACAGAGACAGACCCTGTCTCAGAAAATGTATATATTTATGGATTATATATTTATATATAATTATGATAATACATATAATTAATAACATATAATTAGTATACATTATTATATATAAATATATATATTTAAAAGACAAGATATACCTAATTTTGGATAAGAAGATTCAATCTTACAAAAACGTCAATTTTTATTTAGTTTTTTTTCTAACATAAAATAATTCATTCAAAATTCAACAAGTTTTTTTTCCCCTCTGGGAACTTGAAAAAAGTTTATTTAAAAAAGGACATATGTTAAAAGATCCAAGAAAATACAAAAACAAAGATACTAAGACAAACAAAAAAGACTGGGTTGATGAATATAAAGCTACAGTGTGGTACAGTTATAGACAAAAATGAAAGAAGAGTTTTAAGAACAAAAATATACCCACACTCTTAATAAACTTGTGGTATGAGAAAGAAACGCTTTATTTCAGTTGGGGAGAGGTAGCATTGGGAATATTGCCTCTGCATACAGATGGGGTCATGAAAGAATAAATGATTAGTAATAGTTCTCACTGGAAAGTGTGATTGAAAGATCATAATTAGGATTAGGTTTTGCTGTTGCTGACAGCAACCTCAGGTAACTGTGGTCTTAAGAAGGTTAAGCATTGCATTTTTCTTTCCTGAAAAAGTCTAGAGTGGGTGGTGCAGGCTCTTTCTATCTCATTGTTTTTCCTTGCATGGACTCATCATGGTCCAAAATGAAACCATCTGTGTTCCATCATGAAGCAGGATAGAAGGAAAAGAATGAAGGGGAACAGAGCAAAAGGCCCACCCGCAACGTCTCTTACGGAAGCTTCTTGGGAACTGCTGCCACTTGCACTTACATCCCATTGGCCAAAACTAAGTCACATGGCCATGCTCAGCAGCAAATCAGTCTGGGAAATGTAGTCCTACATTTGGGGAAATGCTGTTTGTGGGCAACTGGCAGTCTCTGCTTCAGGAGGGTTGAGAGTGTTAAAAGGGGGAACACTTACACTTTCTGCTTTGTATACTTCTTCATCCTTTCAAGATTTCCATAGTAAGCATGTAGTACCTATAAAAATGTTTTAAATAGATATCTTTGAAAAAAAAACAAAAAAGAAAAACACTTGAAGAAAATACTTCAAAATGTTAATAGAGGTGATTGTGTCTCGGTGAAGAGGTTAGATATCCATGCATCTTTATATTATTCTGTATTTCCAAATTTGACTACAATGAGAATGTGTTATTTTTATATTTAGGAAAAAAAACTCCCTTGCACCCTCTTCCCCCTGCAATAAGGAAAAGAAAGAGCCCAGTCCTGTTCATCTAATGTGGTTCAGAATGTCAGAATTATTTCCATTCCTCTTTTACAGAGCAACAGCCTTCGGCATTCTCAATGGATTATGCAAATTTGGCGCCATCCTGGGAAACACCATCTTTGCTTCTTTTGTTGGGATAACCAAAGTGGTCCCCATCCTTCTGGCTGCTGCTTCTCTGGTTGGGGGTGGCCTGATTGCCCTTCGACTGCCAGAGACTCGAGAACAGGTCCTGATGTGAACAACCTATGGGAAAAGGAAAGGTCGAGAGAATCTTGTCCAGGACACTGAAATGCATCCACACTTCCTGCCTATCACGGTCCGGAGGACACCTTGGATAGCACGGGAGGAGAAGTTGACTTTGTGACCCCTAGTTTAGGACCCACTTCAGCTGTCAATATGTTTGTAACTCAGGTGACTGATTTGGGGGTGCCCTGAGCCACCCTTAGAATCACAGAGCTGCGTGTTTAACTTCAAGTCTTCCCAGTCCAAGGCAGGGAGAGGATTCTCCAGTGAGTGCACACACTATGCGAGGAGCAAGCATTTCTCTAAGTCAAGTGCAAGGACTTAACTTGCGTTTGAAAAGGAATTAGAGGGTCAGAAACACCCAGGTTCCTCCAGAAAGCTCCTTGGAGCCCAACAACTTAACAAATCAACTTGGCTGGAAGTTAGAGTCATTATATGAAGATTGGGCTTGAAGTATATATTTTTGCATTTAAAAGTATCACCTATCATATTTTCCACTCGAAAATTGACATAGTAGCATTGAGGATACTCTGATCTAGAAAGCCAAGTATTTGAGCAACATCTATAGAGATCTACTTTTCTCCTATGTCTCCTAGGCTTTCCATGATAATTAGGTAATACATTTAAGAAGGATATTTATTTCTGTTTTGCTCTATTCAAAGAAACGGAATGGGATAGTTATTCTGTAAACTAAGTTTGTATATAACTTTATTTGGGTTTAATTTCCACAACTGGTATCTGCAAATATTGCCAGCATTTTAGCCATATTTTGGGAGAACTTGGTGTTTGAGGTCCCAGGAAATGAGGTCTGATCAAATGAAATGCAAGCACAATTTCTTACAGCCATTTAACTTTCTGTTGGGAGGATGAATTAACAAACTCACATTGTGCAGTCTGCTTAATCCAGGCACTTTTCTTTGTGCAGGTGTAGTGAGTAGTTACTTCTCTCCCTTACACAGATGACTTGTGAAACTCAAGCTCACCATCTTCAGTGCTGGCATTTTACTTTGCCACTACCCAAAAACAATGTGAGATGTGTTCAGTGGCCTCTGGTACTCTTTGCAGGCAAGAATCAAACAACATGGGGACTGAGGGAAGGATGGGGAAGTGTAGCCACAGTTCTTCCAAATGTAAATACTTTTTGTTTGTTCTAGTGGTAAAATGCAAATGCAATCCATATTTGTTAGGATGGTCAGGTCTCATGAGAAATCTATGCTATGTGTCCAGAGCTTTTGAAACAGAGTCCATTGGAGTGGGAGTTAGGGAGTGTAGTGGATGCCAAATATGTTTTTCTTCAGTGCTTAAGAGAACTGTTTCCTGAAGTCCAGCTTTGAACATAAACAGGGGTGTGGGTTGGGGGAGGAGCTTAGGACAAACCTCTCTGATGAAGGTCAGCAATAGACTGAAGTCTTGACTGCATGGAAGAGGAAAAACATCAGAACTGTCTGACAATGGAGGGGACAGTGAGCTACGCACAACTGCCAGCGGAGGTGAACTTGCACCTGCCCAGGCCGGATGAACATCAGCCTGCAAGAACTAGTTGTTTGAGTTGATTTGCAGTGCTCTCAATGGGCAAGTGCCACATTTTCCCTGGCAGAGATCTCCAAAAATTTAAAACAGAATAATAATGGCTATATCGAGTGTTTTCTCAGTATTGGAGAAATGCTTAGGTCCTATGATAGCTTCGGGACATCTTTCTGTAATTTTCCTCAATTAACGGGTTGGTAGGGGTAAATCTTATGACACCTTTCCACCGTCGATTTGAGATCAGTTTTAATGGTTAAAATGTTTACTCTCCTTCTGTCAACCCTCACCTTTTTATTTACACCCCTCCCTTTTTTTCTGTACAGGGAGAGAAGACATATTGACTCTGACTGGACACCCTGATTCCTCCAAATATATATACCACTGTGTATTAATCTTTCTCTCAGTGTTTTATAGGAGTACTAACATTTATTGCTCTGTCAATAATGAAAGGCTCGATGTAATATAGCTGTAATTTACTTTCCATATGAATACAGTGGCTAGGTTCATAAAAGAGAATTGTGTGAGTCTGGGATTACCACATCTAAAACATTATTCTTTAATGGGATAATACAATTCATTGAGCAGCTACCACTTAAAAAACTTGCAGGACAGTTAGAGCCTGCATTTCTAGTTAAGATGGATCTTGTAAATTTAAAATTGGATTAACATTGGAGTGCTGGGGTGGCTGCAATAATTTGGGGGCTAACTCCATTTGGTTTCCAAGATCTCACTTCTGCATTATCTTTATGGCTCTTTAAACCAGCCACCTAGCCAATCAAGGGCAATTCCCATCTCATCCATCACTCAGGTCTTTGTAAAGGGTGCAGCCAAGCTCTGCAGACTTTTGCAGGATTGTCTAGCCTGAGTACCGGGCTACTTCTTAAATGCCGTCACTCCTGCTGAGATAAATGCGTCTTTAAAAATAGTCTCTGTGGCAGGTCACTGGGGGACAATGTACAGCATTCTGGCCATCCACTTCTTTTTCACTTCATGTTCTACCCCAAGAGACTCCCGATGTCGGCTGTGGAGGGTTAAAGGGATGAGGCTTTCCTTTGTTTAGCAAATCTGTTCACAGTTCTTGATGATGTATTTTATGATGCCCAGCTTGGAAATAGTTGCTTTCCATAGTCTCAACTGTATTGTGTCATCTCCTGATGCTGATTTTTGATCTTTTGTTTTATTAAAAATAATTAGTGAAAGAGGTGTGCCTATCTGTGAAGTTTGTAGTACATCATCCTGAGGTCATGTAACAAGTAAACCCCAACCCAGCGTTCCCTCCTACGTTGTGTTAGTTCATTAAAACTAAATAATAAAAATAACTGTAAGAAAACCTTAAGGACTGGGGTTAGAGATTATTTTCAGGCACTAAGGTCTCTTCTGTATTCCAAAATTGATTGAATCAGCTGGGAGAAACATTGAGAATCGCTTCCTTCAACTTTTATTTTGCAACATGGGGACCTTGAGAGGTTAAACGATGTGGCCCAGATTACATGTAATGTGAGGAGTGGGCGAGAAGGCCTAAGGTGATGCTCTCATGACAGTTCTGGGGAAGCCTGCAGTTTGGGGAATGGGACAATGTGACAAATACTCGCCATTCCCTGAGACCATTCATTGACTATTCCCTTGATGGCTTTACTATAATGAGAGGAAGCATCAGTTTAAACATAAAAAGATTAGTATTTATCCATCCATTTATTCATTCAGCAAATCCTTATTGAGCCCTGACCATGGGCCAGTCTCTCTGCCAAGCCCTGGGGACACAGTGATGAAAAAACTGGCCACAGTTTCTGCTTCCTGCCTCATTCCACTTGCAGTGAGCGGATATTAAATTGGCCATAAACACCGAGTACGATGACCTTACAATCCGCAAACTGCACCTTTCATGTGTAAAAGGATTGCTACTACTTTACTTGTCAGCTGTGGATTTCCAAATGTGGTGGCTCCCTCTTATTTTTTTTTCTTTGAGGAGTGTACCAATTTTTTATCTTTATAAACCAGGTAAGGGAAATGATGCCCTTGCCCATTTTCTACAGACCTAATCGATTTTTACCTAATCAGTTTTACAGAAAGGGTTACATGGAAGAAGAGATAGGGGCCAGGAATGCAAGAGGGACATTGGTGAGTGGGGTAAGAATCCCCGTAGCCCTGGGAAAGGTGTCTCCACTTCCACATCTGGCTTTTCTAGGGGGCATCTGTGCTAACTGACCTGGGATTATGTTGGATGGCATATGACTGCAAATTCAAAGAAACCAATTTATAATAAGTTTATAGTAAGTTAAAGGTTTGTTTTACTCTCATGTGAAGGGAATCTGGAGGAAGGAAAGCCAGGGCTGGAGTGGCTGCCTTTGATCATGGGAGCACACTCCTTCTGCCCGATCATTGGGAGCACACTCCTTCTGCCTGATCGTTGGGAGCACACTCCTGCCTGATCATGGGCGCACGTTCCTTCTGCCTGATCGTTGGGAGCACACTCCTTCTGCCTGATCATGGGAGCACACTCCTTCTGCCTGATCATTGGGAGCACGCTCCTTCTGCCTGATCGTTGGGAGCACACTCTTTCTGCCTGATCGTTGGGAGCACACCCCTTCTGCCTGATCATTGGGAGCACACTCCTTCTGCCTGATCATGGGCACACGCTCCTTCTGCCCGATCATGGGCACACGCTCCTTCTGCCCGATCGTTGGGAGCACACTCCTTCTGCCCAATCATTGGGCTCACGCTCCTTCTGCCCGATCGCTGGGCTCACGCTCCTTCTGCCCGATCTTGGGCGCACGCTCCTTCTGCCCGATCGTTGGGCGCACGCTCCTTCTGCCCGATCGTTGGGCGCATGCTCCTTCTGCCCGATCGTTGGGAGCACGCTCATTCTGCCCGATTGTTGGGAGCACGCTCCTTCTGCCCGATCGTTGGGCGCACGCTCCTTCTGCCCGATCGTTGGGCGCACGCTTCTTCTGCCTGATCGTTGGGCGCACGCTCCTTCTGCCTGATCGTTGGGCGCACGCTCCTTCTGCCTGATCGTTGGGAGCACGCTCCTTCTGCCTGATTGTTGGAAGCACGCTCCTTCTGCCTTCAGACTCCTTGATTTTTAGTGCAGTTTCCATCACTGAGGCTGCCTCATGGGCTGAGATGGCTGTTGAAGCACTGAACCTCACATCCACAATTCAGGCAGGAAGCAGAAGGAAGGGCAATGGGCAAAGGGGCTGTGCCTTGCAGCCGATCCAGCCTCCCTTTGCTGCAGAGGAGGCAGGGAAATGCGGTATTTACTGGGAACATTGCTGCCCCTCCTCCAAATTGAGGGTCTTGGCTCGAAGGACAAAAGCCAGAAAGGATAGGTGGATTAGTGCTTCTTAAACTTTTGCGTGCATCAGAATCACCCAGAAAGATGTTAAAACTCACTCTTCAAGGCCCCATCCCCAGAGATTCGGATTCTGGGGATTTGGAATCTGGGGTGGGGTCTGAAGAATCTGCATTTTTTAACAAACTCCCAGGTGACATAGATGGCATCAATTCTCAAGCCATATTTTGAGTAGCACTGACACTCTTCCAATAGGTGGTACTTTGACTTGTCAGGGAAGTTCTATTGCTCTGATAACTTAAAACCAACCCAACCAGAAGCTCACAAAAACTAGCAGCCTGTGAAAAATGATCACCATTTTCCTAGAGCTCCGAGACAACTAGTGGTAGTGCAACAGTAACCCAAAAATGTCAATGAAAATATTTCCTTCCCCAGAAACTGCTTGGTTTCACTCAGGTCCTGTCCTTATGGGCCTGTGTCTGGTTGCAGGGCTTGAAGTATTTCGGAAGCTCAGCAGAGGTTGAACCCTTTCCCCTGGGGGTTGGTGATCTTTGTTTTGGCCATTTCCACCTGGTGAAGATTTTCATAGACAAATATGCTTGTGGCATCCTGTAATTCATTGTGCCTTATGATGGACCTCTGATTCTATAAGCTTCCCCCTAGCTAGGGATGCACGGGGGTGATCAAGACATGACTAGATGTGAACCTGACCTGCAGACAGTCCACCTGAACGTGCCTGGAAATGTCTCCCGAAAAGGATGAAAAGCCTCCTCCTTTAGACAAGGAAGACAGAGTGGAGCAAATTTCTCTACATAGATCTCATTCGAAAACAAATTTACAGAATGCAGAATGGCTACTGTGTGTCTTGTGCTATGCTAGGTCTCTCTCTCTCTAAGTGGACTCTGACCCTGTCCAAAACATTGTGCTTTTGCATGTAGCTGTGTCGCATTTAGGCCCAGCTCTAAGAACCGTTTGGAAATAAATCACATAGAGCCTTTGATTGTGAGGCAGGCTTAAAGTACATTTTGTTTGATTTGCAGAGGCATGGTGAGGAATTTATATGCATGGCTGTTGTGGCAGCAGCGAGATTTCCAAAAAGATGAATGATGAAATGAAACAGACTGAAGCTATCTCACAAATGTTAAATGGAGAAATAAAAGTTGTTATAGTCATTGCTAATTACAGAATGAGCAAGAGATTTATTTAGCAGGACCATACTATGCCCCCTGGAAGGTTCAGTTTATGAGCTGGAGCACAAGGATTTACTGTCATTTCACCTGAAAACACACATTTAGCTGTCCATTTACCTTTAATCCTACAGGCTTAAAATACTTTAAAATTTCAGAGACCATTAATATGTATTCCTTTAGAAAGCAAAGGTCTTTCAGAAGCTGTCCTCTACCAAAGTTAATGTGGTCACCACATTTGATGATTTTGCTAGGTAGGGAGGTTTATTTAATCACAGCTACTGTCACTCAGGAGGATGAGCCATTTAAAAATGGTGGCCCTGTCCTCCACTTCTTACCTACCATATATAATCTCAGTAATTCAGATTTCTCTAAATCAGCATTAGTGATCATTTCAATAGGGTATGAACAAAAGGCCTATAAAAATAGCTTTCCAATTCGCCACCAAAAATGCAAAAATGACAAGTAAGTGAGGTAACGCATGAGCTAAATAGCTTGATTTAGTCACTCTAAAATGTGGGTGTGTATATATACATACATATATATACACACACACATTATGTTATACACCATAAATATATAGAAGTTTTACTTGTCAATTAAAACTATAAATAAAGTGGCTTTCCAGAAAAATTAGATATTGGACTCTATCACAAAGGAATTGCATAAAAATACTTACAAACATAACTATAAGCAATTGATGAGCAAATTACAAATGACTGTTTTTTATTAAAACATTCCTCCAAAAGAACGGCAAAGCAAATCCCATAGACACCCAAAATACTAAAAGTGACAAAACAATACTTCTTTAAAAATGTATTTTATGATCTATTTATTGATATTCTAATGGTTTTAAGAAGGATAATTTTCCAAAACCTAAATGCTACACATTTTACAGTGGCAATATCAACCTTATCATGAGCTAAAGATTTGCAATCAGAACATTGGTAGAGTGCATTGCTGAGTTATAACAAGTGTCTCAGGACGAGGATATTTGGTAGGTATCCTTAAATATATAGATGCTTACCAGTAGGTTTAATAGAAGATTTCTGAAAGGTAGCGCAAGTTTTTATTTCATTATTTTTATTTTTATTTTTTTGAGACAGAGTCTCACTCTGTCATCTAGGCTGGAGTGCAGTGGTGCAATCTTGGCTTGCTGCAATCTCCACCTCCCAGGTTCAAGCGATTCTCCCACCTCAGCCTCCCGAGTAGCTGGGATTACAGGCATGCGCCACCATGCCTGGCTAATTTTTGTATTTTTAGTAGAGACGGGGTTTCGCCATGTTGGCCAGGCTCGTCTCGAACTCCTGGCCTCAAGTGATCTGCCCGCCTCAGCCTCCCAAAGTGCTGGGATTACAAATGTGAGCTACTATGCCTGGTCCCAACTTCTTAAAATTAAATTTTGGGGAAGTTCATGGAGATATTTTTGACATGTAAAAGTAGAAAACAAACCATCCATAGTGTGTGCATATATACACACAAGGTTTGGTTTAATATACTTGCTGTGCACTAGTCAGTTTTGATTCAGGTTACATAAGGGATAAAATATAGAAAGACATTTTAAAGTTTGAAATATGTGCTAAGTAGTTAGAGATTTGGCAGTTTTGCCACATTTCAAATGGGCCAAACATTAAAATAACTTATCCATGAATTTCAGGTTTCAAGGAAGGAGGAATATCTGACTATTTTTTTTTGTGTGTGAGATTTGGTCTCAGCTTTTTGGTCCATCTGAATCCTGGAAGTCCCCAACTCTACCAGACCAAAAGGGTGTCTCTATTTTTTGTTGTTACTTCTCTGTTCTTGATGTAATGAGTTAAGTAGATGAAAGAGATTAAGGTGCAGGGAAGGGCTCTTAAAAGTTTAATGTTTCAGCTTTCCATAGTCATTCATACTTGTGAATCTTCTTCCTCTTCTACTTCAAAGTAGCCAAAACTTGGAAAGTTCAAATTAATCTTTGGGCTCCAAAGAGCAATTCTGAAGGATTAACAGGTTTCATTCTCTCCAGTGGGAGGTGGCCTAGACAGGTGCCGGTTTTGGGGAGAGGTGAGAGTACCCAGATGTGGGTGACTATTTCCTGTTCTTCCCTGAAAGTCAGGCCAGTGGTCTCGAATCATTCCCACAGCAACTGCTACAAAAGTGACTATCTTAATCCTTTGGCTAGATGGGATACCTCTTCTACCTTTTCAGAGGTGAGCTGTTGAGTAGTAATGTCCGCTACAACACCACGCTCCCGGAATGGTGGTTCCTAAGAGCAAAGTCAGTTAATACAATTTCTCCAGGTATCCAGCTATCTCCAGGTGTGCGGTCCTGTGAAGCACTCTAAGAACTGTAAAAAATATTTCATAGGTATAGAAGGCATTTGTAATACTGTTGGTTCAAATGTGCTGACATGTAGCCAGTGGAGGAAGATGTTTCTTTGGAAGCCTGCCATCTTTCTGTAACGCACCTTCAACCTGAGATAATTAAGAGTCATTACGTTTCCCAGTCCCATGTCACATTGACCAGTCCTGTGGTCCTATGGCTAAGCGGAGGACACGGCCACAAGCTGTGAGTCATGAAAAGGAGGGTGCAGGTGATAGGCAAAGGGACCCATTAGCCAGTTTACAATGACTGGCAACTGACCAGATAGAGCTTACCGTATGTCCATGTAGAGTTGCTCATATTAGTCTGTAAATAATTCTATGCATAGTGAATGCAGCTTCTGAATTATTAAACTGATGCTATAAATGTGAACTGACAAAACCCACTTTTGGTCTCTCTTCATATTTTTCGTGGTTTCATTTATCTCTCCCTTCAGATGTTTTTCCATCTGACTGTCACTGGATAGTGGAATTGCTCTGATTACCGATGCCTTTTTTGTTCTTTGGTATATTAAAATAGTAGTAACAGTTGATCTGGTGATTGGTGAATACAGTTTAATCTTTAATACCTTGTGATCCAGATATTTAACAAACACACATGAAATTTACTGAATGACAAGAACTGTGATAAAGACTTTTAAAGCCTATCCCCTTTAACCTTCATAATAACCTAATGAGTAAGTGTTATTTTCTTCCCTTTAGAAGTGGGGAAACTGGAACACAGGAAAGTCACTTGTCAAAGGCCAAATAGCTACAGACTGAGTATTCCTTATCCCAAATGTTTGGGACCAGAAGTGTTCTGGATTTCCGGTTTTAAAAGATTTTGGGATATTGGCATTATACCTACCAGCTGAGCATCCCAAGTCTGCACATTTGATATCTAAAATACTCCAGTGAGCTTTTCCTTGGAGTACACGTTGGCGCTCAAAAAGTTTTCAATTTGGGAGCATTTCGGATTTTTGACTTTTGGATTTGGATTTGGAATGCTCAACCTGTTTTCAGAGTCAGAGCCAAGTTCTGAATGCTCATCACCTGGCATATAGTATGGTATAATCACCCCACCAAACCTCTTCCAAAAGAAGCCAGGGTCATCTGCTGCAGATGTTTCTGGGCCACTAGGCCAATATTAACCAAATTATTATAGACACCATCTTAATGTAGAGGATCCCACAAGACTGTGACCTAATAAAACCCTCATTTTCCCTATGCATTGTGACTAACACAGTATTTGATACGTAGTAGGTCTCAATAGATGATGAATAGACCGATGAATGAGCACATGAGTTGAATGGTGAGGAGCAAGTGAAGTGTCATATGTAAAAGAGTTAATTCTCAGATTGATTCAAATGCGGACTTAACACTGCAGCTGTAACTCTGGGTCCGGGTCTTGGTGGCTCCTGCTTTGCTGAGCTTTAAAACTTTAGTAACCTGATGATGGAGAGATCTGGGGGGTGCAGAGGAGGGACCTGGTTCTGGAGTGGTGATGCTGGTTGTCAGAGGGCTGAGGGTGGTGGCCTTTTGCTAACTGGTATGGAAGCATTTCGGTATTTTAACAAGTATGAAAGTAGCTATGTGAATTTGCCAAATAGAAATCTTGGAGGCCAGGTGCAGTGGTTCACACCTGTAATCCCAGCATTTTGGGAAGCCAAGGCAGGTGGATCACTTGAGGTCAGGAGTTCGAGACCAGTCTGGCCAACATCGTGAAACCCCATCTCTTCTAAAAATACAAAACTTAGCTGGGTGTGGTGGCACATGCCTGTGATCCCAGCTACTTGGGAGGCTAGGGCAGGAGCATCTCTTGAACCTGGGAGGTGGAGGTTGCAGTGAGCTGAGATGGTATGTGAGTCTTGGTTGGACACAAGAAAATGCACTCCAGCCTGGGTGACACAGTGAGACTCTGTCTCAAAAAAAAAAAAAAAAAGAAAGAAACTTTAGAAGCCACAAGAGGTCAGCTCCAGTGCAATATCCTCACCTGATGATGTTTTCCAAGCTCCTACCAAGGCTGCTGAGACACATCAGTAATTGAAAAACTTTGTGGAGTTCGGTTTCGTTTCAACCAGGTATACTTTTTTGCTTTATTCCCATATCAACACTAGAGGGCAGTAGCTACCTTGACGATGTAAACCAGGCTTCTCCAAGGTTGGTGAGCCCTCTCTCCCGCCTTTGCCAAGGGGAATGAACGGCTTTTGCGAAGCATGAGTATTGCCCCTCTGTTGTTTACGATGGGTCTGAATGTGGAGATGATTCCAGAAGGCATTTGCTGGAGGGCCTGGGATATCCTTTAACCGTTGATAATATGCTCTTATCTGAAAGATGGAAACTTTCCCATCAACTTTAGAGGAATTGTGGATTCAGCAATCATTTATTAAACATGGGGATGGGGACACCCTTCACCATCTTAGCAGACGACTGGCTTTTAACCCATGCTTATTTAATTAGGACTTCACCATTTACTGTTGCTAGTTAATTTTATATAGGCAAAAACCTCTTGGTGTCCCCTGGGAATCTGTAAGGACAATGTGCTAGGAATGAGAATTCAGAAGGGAGTGTTGGTTTGTGTATTCACAAGGTGTCTACTCAAAGATTGAACTCTTCCATACGTGGGGTGAAAGTTCCTGGCATTAACTATATTAAATAGTCACTGTCCTAGCTGAGCTCAGGGGAGCAGATGTTTTCAGCACAGGATACATGCAAAGGCAGTAAAATGTACTAGGAGAAGTTCGGTTTGGAAGCCCTGAAGTTCTTGACTCCATCCTTCACTTCTGAGATCTAGGGAAAGGCTGTGAGAGCCTGTGCTGGTTGCTTAACCTCATTTTCCTTATCTTTAAAACAGAAGCGGCAGACACAATGGCTGTAGGGTCTCTCCAAGTTTTGATTTCTACAGTAAGAACAATATCACTTGGGAATGCATATAAAGCAAGACACAGAAATAGAGTTTCCTGTATGTGAGTCTTGGTTGGTCACAAGAAAGGGAGTGCGTGCCCTGTGAGCTCTGTTTCGTTTGGAGATACTTGACAGGGTGCACCGTGCTTTGATTACTCCTCGCCAGTGCTTTCCACAGAGGGAGCGAGAGGCAGGTGATCTGCCAGTGTAATATGAAAGGCAATCTAGGCTCAAGGCTAGCTTAAAGGGAAAAGGAAAAGGAGGTATCCACAGGGAAAATGGGGTTAGTTTTATATTCAAATCTCACCTGAGATGCCAACAAAGTAATGACAGAAAACTGCATGTAGCTACATCAGTGGAGGCTAAAAGAAGATAATCAGAGATACTAGGAAGCAACCTACTGCAGGAGGAGAGAGAGGGGGGAGGGAGGGAGAGAGAGAAAGGGGAGAGAGACAGAGAAAGAGATGAAGAGAGAGAGGGAAGGAAGGACAGAGAGAAAAAAAGAGGGAGAGAGAGAAAAAGACAGAGAAAGAGATGAAGAGAGAGAGGGAAGGAAGGACAGAGAGAAAAAAAGAGGGAGAGAGAGAGAAAAAGAGAAAGTAGAGAGAGAGGGAGAGAAAGAGGAAGGGAGAAAGAGAGATGGAGAGAGAGAGAAAAAGTGAGAGAAAGAAGGAGAGAGGGAGGGAGAAGAAGGGAGAGGGAGAGAAAAAGAGAGGGAGAGAGAGAAAAGAGAAAGGGAGAAAGAGAGGGAAGGAGAGAGAGAAAAAGAGGGAGGAGGAAGGACGGGGGAGAGGCGGAGAGGAGAGAAGGAGAGAGGGAGAGAGAGAGGGGGGGATAGGGGGAGACGGGGACACTGGGAGAGGGGAGAGGAAAAGAGATAGGGAGATTGACTCATGGTTGGAAGGTCCTGGGTTTAAATCCTGGCTCCACATGGGTAAGCGTGGGCAGGTGAGGGAGCTCCCTGAGCCTCTTTTTTTCTCACCTGTTGTTCATAAACGTGAGTTGCCTCTCCTGTCCTTCTTTTTCCTTGAATCTACAGTTCTAAGGAAAAAAAAGTGTTTCATGTTTCATGCATTCAATAAAACTTTTTCCCCTGGAGCTGAATAAGTAGAAAAGGCACCAGAAAGCGTAGCGAAAGAACGAGGATACTCTAAGTCTGGCTTGAAGGGACTGGACCATTTCCAGAGTGTTCCACAGCCAAACATGAGCACACAGAGAAAGCAGACCAGAAAAGACAGACAAATGACGGACCTGGAAATTATCTTCATGTGAGTCCTGGTGTGTTTCCTGAAATGGACCTTCCTGGCATTTGTTTGCATGACAGAATTCTTTTTCGCTGGAGTGGAAGAGACACCAAATAGCAATGGTGATGATGTGGAAGGATCACCTTCACGTGACCTTGTGGGGGGTAGTTATATCAATGTGGTGAACCAGGGCAGGTAGAAGAACATGGAAAAAACACATGCAAATGTTTGTCACTCCTTGTGAACTTTCAGAAATAACCAGGTGAAACTCCTAATGGAATTAGAAATCCTTTATGAATAGCCAGGGAAAAACACTAGGAAGCACAGGTGATTCCTGTAAGTGAGACCTAGTTTCTAGGAGACCACACGCTACGTAAAGAATGAAGGCAATTGGAATTTCTTCCATGGAATAGAGATGTAGGGAGACTGAGTGAAGTTTAGCAGAAATGATGCCTCTTTCAAAATTTTGTTTTTCAGGTCTCATTGAGTCTGAGTTAATACGTGAGACACCAATAGGCTGGTTTAGAATTACATGTCTTCATGATTTCATCTTTATGTATTTACTTTTTGGGGTTGCCTCATATTAAAGAACTTCAACTTCATCATTTTGTTAAAGAAACTTCAGCAAGCAAAAACATAGACTATCCACTAATCTTGCATAAAAAATCAATATTGCATTTGCATCGACTTCTCAGATCTAATTTACACTGCATATAGAGTATCCCCCAGTGAAGCTTAGCCCAAAGGAAAGAAGGTAAAGAGAAGAGGAAGAGAATGACTTAGATGAGGAGGACAGAAGAACGCAGAAGGGGAGGAGGCCGGGTCACGGATCAAGGCCAGGTCAGAAGGGGACAGCTGGTGGTACACACAGAAGCAAGAGGAAGGTCATCATCCGAAATTCTAGGACTGCAGAAGGAGGGTGTGTTTAGAGATTCTGATTTCTCCAACGGGGGAAGCAGAAAAAGTCCAGAATCTTAAATAATGGGCTTGGGTCAGCCTCATGCATTCCATCAGGTCAGAGGGAGACAGGGTGTGTGCCTGAGGATCCAGGCAGAGTTTCAGGTGGTATAAATCAAGCCCAGTTGATAGTAGTTGGAGAAGATTCTAGAGAAGGAAATAGGAAATTGCATTCCTGGGTCAGAAACGGGCAGTCAGGTCTTTACTACTATACCCTCAAGAAATGACTGTGAATTCCAGGACGGCGTCTTCCTATGCTCTGCCCTACCCATTACTTACTCTCCTGCAGGGTATTAGATACTTCCTGTGCACCACCCCATGTGCTCTTGGCTTTGCCTCTTATTTAAATGGCTGCAGCTGTGGCAGTCAATCTACACAGGCTTTGACAAGCTTCCTGCAGCGTGGGCCTCACGGATTTTTGACACACAGCATGGCACGCCCAAAGACGTGCTCAATACTCACAAATGCTCAGCTGTGAAGTGGAGGGGAGCTTATGTCTCTTGGGGGACCCCTGGACCAATGAGGGGCAGGAGCTGATCAATAAATGCCTTCCTTCCCTTTCTTACTCCGGAGACTTGGCTGTGACTTCTCAGGTGATTCCATGAGATGTAAGTGGCCCCAGAGTGAGGGCCCATTGGAGAATGCAAATGCATCCTGGTATCGGCTTTCTTTGCTTCCTGCTCTCTCTGTCCTCAGCCCTGCTGCCTGGAATCACCCTTTCAAAGAAACTTACTCTCACATAAGCCTCTATCTCAGGCTCTACTCTGGGTAACCCAGGCTAGAAAAACAGACCAAGAGAGTGAGAAGGAGATGGAGATGTCTTCCTTGGAGGGCTTCTTGAATTCAGCAAGTCGGGGCAGGAAACAGGGGCTTCTCAGAACACATGGTGAGACTTCCCCATCCTTTGCTTTGGAGGGTGGTGAGTACCTGGGGCAGGTACTTCTCTGGCTAATGATACTCCTTTTATAGGAGACATTTTTTCTGCTCTTCAGAGATCATTTCACATAAAAGTCAGACTTTGGGATTTAAAGTCCTACTCTCTTTTCTAGACCAATGACTCCCTATTTCTCCATGGCTTCATTTTAAGACCCAGTGTGCACATTTGCCCACTGACTTGGTCTCCTGCCCCTGAATGTGGATCTATTCTTTAATATCCCCCTGAAATCAGTCTCCTGCGAGCTGGCTGCCCCAAGCCAGGTGTGGCCTGACTGATGCAAATACAGGGGAATTCTTGCCTCTGGTAGTTTGAGATTCAGTTCTTGGTCAGTTAATGGGGACCCGGATTATAGAATGTCTTTGCTTTCAGGAAATTCAATGACTGTGTTGGAAGCACTAATTACCTGCCTTAAAAACCAACATTATTAGCCAAGAATAATTATTACTGCAAGGAAAAGGAAAACAATCAGGAAGGAACACATCTTTAAGGCCACTTTAAATTTCAACTCACCTTCTAGCGGAGGGGGAAAGGTGCAAATCCTTATTCTCCTGTCTATTAAAAAGAAAGTCTTCAACTGTAAGCAATCTGCCACTGAATCCCATTTATATTTTTTTACCTTTGGTGTGAATAGCAATTAGATGTAGTGACAAAAACACAACATGTGGAGGTTCATACAACTTTGGTATTTGTTATTTTAAGTTCTTTTTCAGGATATAAACGATTGGAGTTTGAGTGAAGTTATGGTTGGTGGGTGAAGCATGTGAAGTTTGTGTGTGTGTGTGTGTGTGTGTGTGGTGGGGGGTAGCATAGAGAGGCTTCATGGTTACTATGGCTACACCACACAACGCCCCTGGCAACTTGAACAGGGTGTAAGGGCAACAAGCAGGGGGAGTTGGAAAAGCATACAAATGAAATCAGAGGGGTTTACAAAATCCCAAACTGGAAGACTGTATTTCCTTAAATACCTCTACCATCTGGGCACATTCTCTTTTAAGATTCTGTACTCCAGATGCATTTTTGTCAAACAAAGCAGAGTTATCTTTAGTAATATAAAATTAAGGGAGCAATGGCTGAGTGTAACAATTCTAAAGAAACCTTGGGATCGGCCATACAGTGATGCCTGATTTAGCTGGCATTGTTGGGTCTCGGTGCTACATAGATAAAATAACCCCTGTAATGGGAGCTACCTTGTTGAACTAGGATGGATGGGTGGGTCCGTGGGAAGATTCTCTTTATCATTCTCCTTTAATCTGCCTCCAACGCTGCACCTGCCACATCTCTTCTAGGTCTGCCTTGGCCCTGAAGCCCACCAGACTCTGTGGGGAGATAAAAGGAAGGAGGTGAGGATGGAGGGTGACGTTGACGACTCTAATTCTTTCTGATTTGCACTCTCCTCTCTCCTTCCACACAGGCCTAGCTCTTGGGTAATCGGATGGAGGAGAGGATGAAAGCAAGTGAAACTTCCTCCTACCTTCAGGCCACAACAGCCAGATAATCTCTTGCTTGTGTGACATACAGTTTGTGGTTAATTCACTGCTTACCCCTCTTTGTCTATTGCTCCATCCTTTTTTCAACTCAACAGAGACTTCTGTTTTTCTCTGTTTTTAAAAACTTAATTTTAAAAAGTTTTGTGGAGGTAAAATCCACATAACATAAAATGAACCATGTGAAAGGACAGGTTGAATATTCCCTTGTTTGAAACACTTGGGACAAGAAGTGTTTCAGATTTTGGATGTTTTTGGATTTTAGAACATTTGTATGTATACAATGAGATACCTTGGGGATGCGACCCAAGTCTAAACATGGGATTAATTTATATTTAATATACACCCTATACGCATAGCCTAAATGTAATTTTACATAATACTTTAAACAATTTTATGCAGAAAATTAAGTTTGTGGTAAGTACTTTACGTGCAGAGTTTTCCACCTCTGGTGTCAAGGTAGCACTCAAAAAGCTTCAGATTTTGGAGCATTTCAGATTTTGAATTTTTGAATTAGGGATGCTCACCCTGCATAGACTTCACTTGCGTTTGGTACATTCTCTGTGTTGCACAATAATCATCTCTATTTCATTCCAAAACATTTTTACCACCTCAAAAGGAAACCTGATACCACTGAGCCATCACTCCCCACTTCCCCCCTCCTCCGCCCCTGCCAACTACCAAAACTTTTAATTGTAGTATAAAATACATGCAGAACAATGCACAGGTCATATGTGTGCAGCTCAATGACTTTCCACAGGTGGTCACACCCGGGGTCCCCTGAGCTCAGATCAAGATGGAATCTTAACAGCTCCTCCTGTGGCCCCTCTCACTTCTAACCCGACTACCAGAGAAGCCACTATCCTAATCATGGATTGTGTGTGTGTTTTTGAGCTTTCAACACATGGGCTCCAACCTTATGTTCTCCTTTGAATCTGGCTTCATATCTTCATCAGTATGTTTGTGTGGTTGTGGTTTGCTTATTCTCTTCATATCTTCATCAATATGTATGTAGGATTGTGTTTTGCTTATTCTCATTACTGTATTGTATTTCCTTGGGCAAATTTACTCCAATTCGTTTGCTGGGTGAATATACTTCACTTTACTTATCCATTCTATTGTTTTGTGGTGCCTAGTTTCCCTCTTTAGGACGGCAGGACAAATTCCCCTGCTGTCTCAGCGGAGGAGAGCTGCTTGCCCAGGGTCACACTCCTTTGCTGGGCAGCCCACATCCAGTGCTGATTGACATTGGGGCATGAAGGTCTAGCCCCATCACCCTAACTTGGGACAACTAGGAAGCGCTATCCCAGATTCAGAGCTCTCCCGTGGGGTCAGCTGAGGCCATGATGACCTGCATTGCAGCCCACCCAACTTCTCTCTGCCCAATTCTACTCTCTTCCCTCCCTCCACGGGTGAGGATTCTGAGAGTTCTTTAATTAATGTCCTTCACGTGAGCACTGCTTTCTGGGTAGCAGTGGGGCTTTGGATCATTTGTAATTTTTTGCTTTCACAAAGTGGTGCTGCTATGAACATTCTGGTGCAGGTGTTCTGGTGAAGATGTGTGTGCATTTCAGTGGGGTATGTATCTCAGAGTGGAGCTGCTAGGTTTTAGAATTAGCACTCACTCGGCTTTAATAGATAGTGCCAAACAAAGTAAAGTGGTTGTACCAATTTACCTTCTTGTCAGGAGTTCTAGTTGTTTCACATCCTCCCCAACATTTAGTTCTCTTTTATATGTTAGCTAGTATAATAGGGGTGTCATGATATTTCAATCAATGAGTTTTTTTTTTTTTTTTTTTTTTTGAGATTGAACCTCTCTCTTGTCACCAAGGCTTGAATGCAGTGGCGCGATCATGGCTCCCTGCAACTGCCTCCTCCTGGATTTGAGTGATTCTCTTGATTCAGCCTCCCTAGTAGTTGGGATTACAGGTGTGTGCCACCACGCCCACCTACTTTTTGTATTTTTAGTAGAGACAAGGTTCAGCTATGTTGGCCAGGCTGGTCTCGAACTCTTGACCTCAAGCCATCCACCCACCTCGCAATGTGTTGGGATTACAGGCTTGAGCCACTGTGCCCCGCCTTTAATGTGGTTTTAATTTGCACTTGCGTTGCAGCCTATATACTTTTTAGGCACCTCTCTTGAGCCATTGGGCAGATGCCCCTTCTTTAAAGACTATATATTTTTTAAGAGCAGCTTTGGGCCCACAGCAAAATTGAGAGGAAGTATAGAGATTTCTCATATAACCCCTGCTCCTACATCTGCACAGTCTCCCCCCATTATCAACATCCCCCAACAGAGTGGCACATTGACACATCAGTATCACCCAAAGTCCACGGCTTACATCAGCGTTTTCTCTTGGTGTTGTACATCCTATGGGTTTGGACAGATGTGTAATGACATGTATCCATTATTATAATAGCATGCAGAGTATTTTCACTGTCCTGAAAATCCTCCTTGGTCTGCAGACACTATGATGATCACATCCCCCTTTATCCAAGACAGGCATAAATTTTCTTGTGTAGCATTGGGACAAACATTTATTAATTTTATTTTTTATTTAGGAAAAATATAAATATAATTTACCATAATTATCATTCTAAGTATATAGTTCTATGGTAATAAATACACTTATATTCTTTTTTTCCCCTTCATTCCCCCAAGATATTTATTAATTTTAATACCTTTCTATCTACTGGGTACAGGTAAGACCAGTATTGTTTTAAAGTGGACTGGTAATATTGTTGGCTTGTTAAATTGTGGCAGCTCCCTGTAGAAAGAAGTAGCTGAAGAGGCTGGGCGCGGTGGTTCACGCCTGTAATCCCAACACTTTGGGAGGCCGAGGCAGGCGGATCACGAGGTCAGGAGATCGAGACCATCCTGGCTAACATGGCGAAACCCCGTCTCTACTAAAAATACAAAAAATTAGCCAGGTGTGGTGGTGGGCGCCTGTAGGCCCAGCTACTCGGGTGGCTGGGGCAGGAGAATGGCGTGAACCCGAGAGGCAGAGCTTGCAGTGAGCCGAGATTCTGCCACTGCACTCCAGCCTGGGTGACAGAGCAAGACTCCATCTCAAAAAAAAAAAAAAAAAAGAAGTAGCTGAAGAGTAACAGGAACCCCTGGGGTATGCTATCCTAGAGCAAGAGAGGTATGGCTAGTACTAGAAAGGGGCCTGGGGCCAGGGGAGAGGGTAAAGATACCAGAAGAAGTTAGCTGAGGTAGAAGAAAGTCAAGGGTGATGTAAGAAAAAGAACATAAGTATACATAGAAATAGATGTAGATCTAAGCCCTGCTACTAATCAGCTTGAGCCACTGACTTTAGGCCTCAGTTTCTACATCTATAAATTAGCAGATTTGGTATAAAAAATTTAGATTGTTTGCTTCTTGTTTTACATTTTTATTGATTACAAAAGTTATATAAAACTAGTAATTGGAGTTCCACTTCTGGCATGACAGCGTAAGGAACTCCAGTGACCTGCTCACCAGTGAAGCAGATGACAATCATTAAAAAAACAAAAAACAAGCAAACAGAAGTCTCTATAAATGGTCCTAAAGGCAAATGAAAAGAAAAATATCTTCAAGCAAGTCTATGAATATTCAGCAGGAAAGGAGAGAGTCTGTGGTATCTGCCCCAAGACCGCTTCCTTCCTCTCCCCTCCCAGCTCAGTGAGGCTCTTTTCCTCATCCCTCCTGCTCAGCTGAGTGTAGAGATTCCACTCCAGATGGCTGTGCCCAAGAACACAGGGTTCTCTCTCCCCCCAGCTCCCACTGCTTTCTTCCTGGGAGGAGCAGGATATCAGCATTTCTCATCTTGCCCTCAGCTACCTGTTGCCGAGGCTTAGTTCCAGGCCAATGCCAGTGAGAGGTGAGGGCTCCCTTATTCTGCTCAGCTTGTGCTATGCAACAGAGGAGGTTGAAAATACTAGGGCCCTGATCACTCTTGTCCCACCACAGCTTGTGGGGTGATGGTTCCATATCAGAAGCGGTAAGCCAAGAAGACCCCAGTCTGATGTCACACCCTTGACCCCCCAACTCCACTGATCACTCAGCTAGAGCAGAAGGAAGTTTGTCATCATCCTCACCTCCAGCTCCAGAGCTGTCTCAGAGATTTTGCCTGGGGGAGAAGCAGGCCATACAACAGGTAGCTCCTAATCTCTTCCCAAAGGAACTGACTGCATTTGCAATAGAGAGTGGAGAAGTTCAAACCTAAGGGCCCTCTCTGGTGAAAGGCAATTGATTCATGAGTCTAGGTCTTAGGACAATACTGTCTACATGGTAGGCCAGCTTGTCTGCAGGAGAGAACTGGAGAATAAAACAGCTGGGAGAAATCCTGTTGGGGTCAGAACAAATCTTAAACATGAACCTCAGGAACTGTGTCTCTAAAGGAGTCACAATTTGATTGGATTAATTTATAAAGAAATTTATGCCCCAGGGAATTGTTGAAAACAACAGAATGTTCAGCAGGCAATTAGCAGAGTTAAACAGCTAGGAGTCAATGGGGAAAGAAAGAGAACTGAACCAATACGGTTCATCCCACTCAGGGTGACTGTGGCCATACCCAAATCTGTACCTCCCTAAGGAGCAACATCAGAGGCTTAACACTATGGAGTAGGGGTAGGGAGTAGGGGATGGGAGAAATAGACTTCACTAAAATCTAATCACTGAAAAATAAACAAGCAAATAACAAACACACGTCTTAGATGGGAATGCCAGTACCCAGCACTGCTACAATATATTATCTAAAATGTTCAGTCTCAAAAAAATATTGTAAGCCATATAAAGAAACAGCATACACTGGAGCAAAGAAGGCAATAGAAACTGCTCGTGAGAATAACCGGATATCATATTCAGTAACAAAATACTTTAAGATAGCCATTATACAAATACGTTCACAGAACTAAAGGAAACTGTGATTAAAGAAGGAAGGTAGGATGACAATGTGGCATCAAATAGAGAATGTTAACAAACAGAAATTACAAAACAGAGCCAAATGGAAATTCTGGGGTTGAAAATTACATAACTGAAATAAAACATTTACCAGAGTGGCTCAACAGTGGATTTGAAGTAGTGAGAAAAAAAATTAACAAACTTGAAAATAGATTGATAGAGGCTATGCAAGATGAAGAAAAGAGGGAAAAAAGAATGAAGAAAAATGAACAGAACCTCAGAAAAAAAATGTGGGAGACCATCAAATACATCAACATAGACATAATGGGAGTATCAGAAAGAAAGGAGAGAGAGAAAGGAGGAGAATAAATATTTAGAGAAACAATGGTTGGCCAGGTGCAGTGGCTCACACCTGTAACCCCAGCACTTTGGGAGGCCGAGGCGGGTGGATCACGAGGTCAGGAGGTCGAGACCATCCTGGCTAACACGGTGAAACCTGTCTCTACTGAAAATACAAAAAATTAGCTGGGCATGTTGGTGGGCACCTGCAGTCCTAGCTACTTGGGAGGCTGAGGCAGGAGAATGGCGTGAACCCAGGAGGTGGAGCTTGCAGTGAGCCGAGATGGCGCCACTGCACTCCATCCTGGGCGACAGAGTGAGACTCTGTCTCAAAAAAAAAAAAAAAAAAAGAAAAAAAAAGAAAAAGAAACAATGGTTGAAAAGTTTTATATAAAATTGTTGTAACAGTGAAACAACATAAAGATTTATAAAGTAAATGCTCATAAACTCTCACCCAGGATTGTGGTCTTCACCCACTATGAGGCAACCAATGTCACAGTTGGTGTGTATTCTTTCATACTTTCCTCTATGCTCATGCAAAACTAAGCAAATATACATATACATATTTAGTTTTTATATATAAAATAGATAAATGATATTCTGTTGTTTGGATGCATTGCAATTTATTTAGCTATTTCCCTATTTTACCATTTTCCTGCCAGATTTTCAACAACTATGATTCTGTTTATCTAACAGAAGCCATTATTATGTTAAATTTATTCTCAACCACATTCAGCCTGATTTTTGAAGACCACAGCCAGACTTGTATTGGAACAGGTTTAATAGACTTTACTGTCATTTGTAGGGCATGGACCAGCCTAATTTGAATATTTAGGTGTGGGAGGTTACAGTGGGAAAGCAAGAAGCATGAAAAAGACTAACTTGTTCAATATGTCATTTGGTTCAGCCTGATTGCCCGTATATCAAGTGTGATTTTGAAAAAGTTTTAGACTTTGATTGTATTACCCAGAAAAATAGACTATGAATTTTGAGGTCTGGGTTCGACTTCTAACTTAGTCACTTTTCAGTTAACCTTGGCCAGAACCTAGTGCTAGGTGGTAACCAATCACAAAATTTCAGTGGCATACAACAGTAAGGACTAGTTTATCTCACGTGTCGGTGGGGCAGCCTGGGGGTTTGTTGGGTGTGGGATAGATTGATCTAGGCATGGCTCAGTGGGGGTGGCTCTGTTTTGTGTGTCTTTTTGGGACCAGAAGGCTAGACTGGTGATGGCAGAGGGGCAAGAGAGCAAGTCCAACTGCAAAAGCACATTCTAAGCCTCTGTTTGCATCCCATCTGCTAACATCCCATCAGCCAAAACAAGACACATAGCTAAACCCATAGTCAAAGGGGCACTGCAAATTTACATGGCAAAGAGTATAGACAGATGATCCTATTACTGGGGAGGAAGGAAAGATTTGGAACCATATCACAGTCTACTGTAGTCAACTACTAGCAAGTTATTTAGTGTTATCTGAAGGAAGGAGATGATACTATCTAACTTTGTAATTTTGTCGTGAGGGTTAATTGCAATATTTCATGTACCTCCCCTGACATGTCATACATAATCAATGGCTATCAATTTTCTTCCTTTACAAAAGCTATAATGGATATTATAATTCTTTTATGTTCGAAATCTTATACGATGTTGGCCAAACTGATAACATTTAAAAGTGTGAAATAATTAAAAAATTCTTTTTCTAACATACGAGTAAAATAATGGATTTTTTCCTATTGTGTTCCTACTAGGTTCCACTTGCAAAAATATTTTTGCATAGTTGAATCCAGAGTATATGGCCATTCTGAATACTGCTATTTTAAATTTTCTTATATCAAAACATTATCTGAAGCTGCTACACTCCTTTCCCATGAATCCCTTCTTGTGGTTGTATGATAGTTTGTCATTTGTTGGACCATAATGAGGCAAACTATTTCAGGGAGAGGTCTCAAGGCCTCCGGGCTGGGCATTCGTTACCTGAGCTGGTGTCCTGTTGGTTTTAGAGCATTGGCACCTGCTGAGTGATTGTGGCAAGGATCTTAGGGTGCAGGGCTCTCGAGCTCCTATAAATCCTCCCTTCCCTGAGAAGACAAGCTAGCATACTGGAAAAGCAATAAAGTCCTCCATGTTATATTAGTGTGACTGCTGCCCGTGGGAGGACAAACAAAGCCATCTGCAGGTGCTGTCAGTGTCAATAACACATGACAGCAGGCTTCAACTCCACTGAGCTGATTTGGTGGTCTAAAATATTTGGCCACACATAGGACTGCGTCTGTGGCTTTGTATATTGGTTGAAGGTGCTACCAAAGCTCATTTGTTAAATTTTTGAAAAGCAGGTGAAACGGACCTAGAATTGGTTTAATGAAGATGTGGCTCATGAGGGCAATGAGCAGCAGGTGGGCTCTGCTCTCTGGGCAAGGTTAGTCCAGTTAAGGAAAGCTTTGTCAGCAAGCTGTTGATCTCTTTGGGGCCCAGATGGCAACCCACTGTTGCCGAGACTAGTTCCATGGCTAGACTCAAAAGGATCCATCATGTCAAACTAGGAGTTCAGTTCAGCCAGGAAAAAAACACAAAACTTCTTTTGCTTAGGATTGTCTAATAAAACATTTGCTCGTGGGTTGCCCAGGGCCCTCTGCCTGCGAGACTGGCTCACTGTGCACTCTATTCTCTGCCACATAATAACCAACCCTCCGGAAGTGGTTATATCATGTTTTGGGTTTGCCCAGAAATGTTTTGTTCAGAAGAGTCTCAGAGAATGGCCTCAGGATTCATCACGTTTTTCATGAACCTCTTTCTATTCTCCTTTGAAACGTCTCTCTATTCCATCTCTGTGCCTCACTCTGCACACTCAGCAAGGGGTCCCCGCAGGGATGGATGGATGGTGCAGTAGTGAAGAGCATGGGCTGAAGAGCCAGGCTGCCTGGGCTTGACACTTTAGCCACTCAGATGTTGTCACCTTGGCAAGTCGCTTAACCTCTTGGTGTATTCATTTCCTCACCTTTAATATGGGGATAATAATGGCACCTACCTCATAGTATTGTTTCAATAATTAATGGATTATGTAAAGTGGTTGGAGGAGTTCCTGGCAAGTGGTGTTATGTAAGATGACTACTACTATCTTGAGATCTTAATGAACATCAATTAAATGAGATGATGCATCTGACATTCTGTCATAGAGAGGACGCTGAATTATAAATATTATCACCACTAATAATGGTAATAGGCCAGGCACGGTGGCTCATGCCTGTAATCCTAGCACTCTGGGAGGCCAAGGCGCGTGGATTGCCTGAGGTCGGGAGTTTGAGAGCAGCCTGACCAACATGGAGAAACCCTGTCTCTACTAAAAAAATACAAAATTAGCCAAGCGTGTTGGCACATGCCTGTAATCCCAGCTACTCGGGAGGCTGAGACAGGAGAATCGCTTGAACCTAGGAGGCGGAGGTTGTGGTGAGCTGAGATCACGCCATTGCACTCCAGCCTGGGCAACAAGAGTGAAACTCCATCTCAAAAAAAAAAAAAAGTTAATGGTAAGATATTCAAGTTTTATCTCTTCTTGGATAAGATGTCTGAATGTTAACAGGGACTTATTGCAAAGAAAACCTGAATCTGCCTTTTCTCCAACTGAGTTTGGCTCTATAGAGGAAAGTGTTCTATGGTCACATACGTTTGGAAAATGGTGCTTGGTTGTTTGCATATGAGCGTGTGTGTGTGTGTGTGTGTGTGTGTGTGTGTATGTGCATGTGTGTGTTTCTAATACATATTCAGATCTTTGAAATATTTTCCCTCAAAACCCAATTTGGAAAAGTTTTTCCATGACCTGTCGAATGGGAGTGGAAATTTCAGATGAGGAGAATCGTTGGAGGAAGTGGAGTTCTGAACCCTTCTCAAGTAATGGTAATCAACAAACTGCCCTTCTCACCTCTAAGGGAAGTAATGGGAATTTATTAATATCTCCCCTGTGCCAGACATTGATCTTGGTGCTTCAAATGCATTATCTCTAATAAAAATATGTTAATAGCTACCATTTTTTGACCACCTGGAATGTGCCAGGCATTTTATATAATTTATCTCTAACATCCATAACATTTTAGCAGAGTAGGTATTATTATTCCTATCTTCAAGGTGAGGAATTGAGGTTCTGTAATATGTCACATGGCAAGTATTTGGAGCCCAGGTTCAAGCTCAGGTCTGGAGGCTTCAAAGCATCTCTTTGTGAAACCATGATGGGGGAATTTGGCATTCTCAGCAGCACTTAAGAAGATTAGGGAATGAAGGGGAAAAGCAATGATAAGAATAGCAGACGTTCACATTCACCTCGCAATATAGAAAGTGCTTCCCAATGCAGTTTCTCATTTGATTCCAAGAGTGTGCACTCTGGGCCCCACCTCCCTCCAGCCTCTGCTTCCACAGTTCCCTTAGTGGGAGGCTCTTTCCAAGGAGCCTGGTCTGCTCCTCTGAACTCACTTGGCTCTTATGATTTCTTGCCTTTTCTCACATTCACCCCTTCTCATAGTTAACTTGATGAGTCTTCCAAGTTCCAGTTTGCCTTCCCTGAGCAGCTCATCCTAGCTCCCCTAGACAGAATTGATTGTTCCGTCTTTACACTGCAGAATTTTATTCAAACTCATTTGTTGCACATTGAGTTACGATCGCATGTTGGAAGATTGAATGGGTGAGCGCAAAGTAGCATCTTTCAGCTAGGTTAGGTAGGCATTAGTCCTCTCTTGTTTTGGTTTTTAAATGAGAATAGTAAAGCTTAGATTCGGTGACCTGTCCAAGGTCATACAAGTGGTCAGTGGTACAGCTGGGCCTTCAGACTTGATTTTAGGAACCAGGGACCCAAGGATGCCAACCCAGGATTGTAGCCATAAAACTTAAATGCTCATCAACTCATTTCCCAGTCTCTTCCCTGAAGGAACACAGTTTTTAAGCCGGGATTGATTAGCTTAACAAGAGAACTCTTACAGAATGAATGCAAAAAGCATCTATAACCTCCTATTTATATGTGTCTTAGTTTTCAAACCACCCTCTATTCTACCCACTTCCCTAGTTATGTCAAGAAGGTCAGTTGGTGATAAGACTTTTTCTAACTTACTGAGATAAGCAAGTGTGTTTTCTGCGGGATCTTTAAATAAAAGGAATGCTCCCACTACAAACATCTCACCCTCTCCCGTCCCTCTCCCCATGTCCATGTGGATACTTTCTTTGGAGAGTCTCACTCCCTCTAATGACTCTGTGGGAAATTTTGTACTTTCACACCCAAGAGGCTAATTAAAATAAATCAATTAAAGTCAGACTGGTGAAGGCAGTGATCCAACAAAGGGGAAGAAATGAGCAAAGG
Organism: Homo sapiens; assembly: GCF_000001405.40. Lineage (NCBI taxonomy): Eukaryota > Metazoa > Chordata > Mammalia > Primates > Hominidae > Homo > Homo sapiens. The sequence goes on from NC_000015.10 coordinate 91,318,992, forward strand.
ATGTTTATCATAATGGAAGCTGGAAGGCGAATATTGCCTAAACACTCATTTACAGGCCGGGGGACTGACAGCCAGCTCCTGATTTAGGAGGCCTTGATGAGGCTACAGCTTCAGCGCTCCCACATTTTTCTCAAGAGTTTCCTTCTGCAGGCTGGCTTCAGGTTCAGGTCTTCAATCAGTCAGGGCAGAGAGATAGCACATATCAGCCAGAGCAGATGGCCTGCCCTGTTTTCCCTTTGAAAGTTGGAATCTGAAGCTGTATTAGTGCCAGGCTTAATATTAATTATAACCATGACCTTCCTGGCTAGACTTCCTGATTGTTTTTGGTAAATTTTCCTTGGAGATAAGGAGGAAACCATTAAACTCAGATTATGGTTTGCCAGTTCTAGGAAGCACCTATTAGGACATCTAACACTGCTCTAGACAAGAAGAAAACAGCCCAACCTTGGGCACGTAAATGAATGACACACTGCCATTCCTGAGAGCAGCTCCAAGATCGGCTCAATGGATCTTCCTCATCTATCACTCTCTAACCCTGGAGGCTTGCCTTCTGATTGCTTTATCAAGATAGTGGAAATGTGGGTTAAGAATCCTTAAGAAGATCTGAAAAGAAGCTTTGTCTTTTTTATTCATCTTTTTTCCTCCTTGTCTTAGGCCCCCTGCCCCCACTCTCTCTTAGATCAAGGTTGTTTATTACAGTCTGCATGCCCTCCGGCGACAGGGCAGGACTCAATTTGAAGAACTCATTGAAAACTGAGATTTTTATTTTTTATTTTTACTCCTGAAGCCAGAATCTCAGCGCTGAACTGGGGAATGATCCCTGTTATATACCTGGGCTAAACCTTTTTCATTAATTTCTCTTCCTACTACTATGAATCTTATGTAAGATTCAGACTTTGATCTCCTGCAGTTTCACAAATGTTTGTTTTTTTTTTTGTTTTTTTTTTTTTTTGAGAACTTAACACTCTTGGTTATTATATCTCAGATGAATACTTTTATGTCTGTATTTTCTACTTGTTATTTTAAAACCTAAGTCCATTAGAGAGTTGGGAGTGTAGCCTCAATTATACCTTAACGATTGATGACCTTCGGAGTGGTTGCCTTGGGTATACATACTATTATTTAGAATCATTTAGGTTCAAGTGGAAGAAAATAACACTAGTTAAGCATAAGGGAGATTTATTTTACAGATACTAGCGTGTCTCACAGAACCCAAGAACACAAATATTATCAGTTCTCAGGACTCTTGGGAACAGGAACTCAGTTCTCAGAATTGACTTTCTATTTCTTTTATCTCTGATTCTGTCTGCATAGCAACATCTTTCTTCACCTTCTCTGAGTGTAAAGGTTTCCTCCATCTCTCTAGTCAACGTCACAGAAGACAAAAATACAGTCTGAGTTTCCCATCCTACGGTAAACTACTCAGGAGTGACTTTTTTTCTTGGTTCTAGTTCCAAGATTACTCTGCCAGCACTCTGGTCGGCCTACCTTGGGACAGGTGCCCAACTCATAGGGCTCACGTGGCGTCAATACAGATGGAGGTGGGTCTCAGATAGGGGTGTTCAGAAGAGGAAAATTAGGCAAAGAAAGAAGAAACTTGTCCCTATATTTATAAACCATTCACTAAGCAAATTCATTAGTTTTGCTAATTAAGTCAATTCATTTTCCCAGGAAATGATGAGTTGTAGATTTTTAGTCTATGAGTTATTAGCCTCTATTATTAATTGGATTTAGTTACTTAAAGAAATCAATTCCTTTACTGATGAAGCATTGATTTAGAAACATCTATTTACATTGTTCTTTCCCTTAAGCAAGTTATAATAAGAGCAAACATGTAAAGGGCTTACTGTGTGTAGTAGGCACGGTTCTATGTTGTGTGTATATGTGTGTGTATGTGTGTATATATGTGTGTGTATACTCATTTTGGTCCTCAAAACAGAAAAATGAGGCATAGGGAATTTGAAAATTTTCCCATGGACAAGAGGTAATTAGTGGTGGACCTTAGATTTGGATCTATATAAAGAAACGGGATTGGAGGTGTATTCAAATTAACAGCTAATAGAATAATGCAGTGCAGAATGTGGTATAATGACTGTATTTTAATCTGTCCTAGAATTTGGAGATGTCTAGAAGCCACATGAACTAGTCTCATTCCTTCATGGTTACTTTATTTTTTTAACGAAATTAGTAGTCTTAACACAGTTGATCACTATTGTGCTACAATCCCAAAGAAAATAGTTTACATTTTACCAGATAACTATTTATGGTGGCCTGCTTGGAAGTGACTATAAGGGGATGAATATTTTCTGTTCATTTTATAGATGGAAAAAGTAAAGATAAAGCCTTGAGAACCAGAATGCTCACGAGGCAGAATCCTGCAGCTACGTAATGCCAGGCCCTGTGTTTTCAGAATATATTAAAATTTTGCATTTTGTATTGCTTCATGTCAATATCCAAGTCATCTCAGTTTTCTCATTTCCATGATAGGTATAAATATATTTCTGTCTCTACTGAAAATAGAAGCTGTTGAGGATAAAACGCATATAAATTAAAAAGCATTTTTATAGATAAAAAATGCTATGGAATGTTCAATGCTGTTATCTTCACCATTGATTTTACCATAAGATCTACCCTCCCGTGTGTTGGAATAGTCTTCTGACATAGGATTTTATTGCTAGGAGGGTCCTTAGAGGTCATTTATTCCAAAGGCTCATTTTACAGATGAACACACTGAGGCCCAGGGAGGCCTATGTGACTTACAAAAAAGTCACACACGACCAAAAAAAGAAAAAAGTTCTCCAGTATTAGACTTGTCTAAGGGTAAACATCTCATGGAGTGGCTCCTTTGAAATGTGTGCACAAAATCAGGCTGAGGCTTTTGTCTATTTCACATAAAACGTCTCCTCTGCTATTTGACATCACAAATGAAAGCACAAGGCCAGATGCTTAATTGCTTCTAAATGGAGGCTATTAAACGATAAGCAAGTTTTTGCCATCTTTTCTGTGGGTCATTGTGTCTTCTCCAAAGTCATTGTATTTTTGTTGTTTGTTAGCTTATTTCCAAACTGGGAATTATGAAACTGATTTTTAAAGCATTAGAATGACTCATGGAAAACTGTAATATAGCATTTCGAGATTTTTCAGGGATTATGCTCTACCTTACATTTCCATTTGGTATGCAATTAAATGTCCATAACTAGAATATTTCTAGTCAGCTTTTAGCACAACATAAAGCTGTAAATGCAAAGAACAAGGTTGTTCCTGGGCAAATAGTCATTGAGAGTCTGCTTTTCTTTCCTTCTTTAATAAACAGAACTTATGAGATTATAAATAAAATTTATATTTATTGTAGAAAAATTTTAAAAATGTTTCAAAAGTAGGAAAAAGAATAAAAATACATAATCTCACCTCAGAGACAGTCTTCTTTATTATTTCAGTGTATTTCATTCCACTCTTTATTTTTTACATTTTTATGGTGAGAAAAGTATATAAAACAGATATGTAGGCCTAACATATAGTAATAATGCTTAACGAATATTACTAAACAAAATGCCTGTGTTCACACCAATTTCTTACTCATTCAGGTCAGGAAATACAACATTATAGGCACCCCAGAAAACACCTAAGTGGTCACAACCTCCTCCCTTCCCCTTCAGTAATTTTTTTTTTTTTTTAGTTTTAGTTTTTTTTAGTTTCTTTGTATAGTGTTACTACTGTTACATGTATCTTTAAACCACACACACACACACACACACACACACATACACACTCACACACGAGTTTCTCCTATTACTAACATCTCATATTAGTATGGTACATTTGTTACAATTAATAAACTAATATTGGTACATTATTATTAACAAAAATCTACAGTTTATTCAAATTTATTGCAATTTTTACCTAAAGTCCTTTTTTCTCCACCAGGATCCCATTCAGGATTCCACACTGCATGTAGCCATTATTGTCTTTCTAGACTCCTCTTGGCTATGATTGTTTTTCAGACTCTCTTTGTTTTTGGTGGCCTCGACAGTTTTGAGGAGTACTGGTCAGATGATTCGTAGGATGCCTTTTTATTGAAATCTATTTAATGGTTTCCCTCAGGATTAAACTGGTCTTACAGTTTTTTTGGAGGAATATCACAGAGACAAAGTGCCGTTTTCACCTGATCATCTAAAGGGTACGTACCATCAGCATGATTTATGATGTTGATGCTGACCTTGATCGCTAGGCTGAGGTAGTGTCTGCCAGGTTTTTCTGCTGTAAAGTTTCTGTTTTCCTCCTCTCCATGCTGTACTCTTTGGAAGAAAGGCACTATAAACAGACCACACTTAAAACGTGAGGAGTTATGTTCCCCTCCTTGAGGAAAGATTGTCTATGTAAATTATTTAGAATCCTTCTGCGTGAAAGATTTGCCTTTTGTTTCCCATTTAATTAATTTATTCAATTATGTATTTATAGGTACATCAATTTTGTATTTATGGACTCATGAATATTATGTGTGTTTATTTTGGGTTTTAATATAATACTACTTAATTTTGTTACTCAAATTTTTCCATTTGGCCACTGGGAGCTCTTTCAGTTACCTCCTGTGCCCCTTTGATATACTCATTTCAGTGTATATGTGGGATTTAAAAAATTTATTTGTATATTCATTTTTTTTTTGTGGGTACATAGTAGGCATGTATATTTACAAGGTGCATGAGATATTTTAATAAGGCATACAATATATATTCATCACATCAGGGTAAATGGGGTATCCATCACCTCAAGCATTTATCCTTTCTTGGTGTTACAAACAATCCAATTATACTATTTTAGTTATTTAAAAATGTACAATAAATTAATGTTGACTGTAGTCACCCTGTTGTGCTAGCAAATACTAGTCTTACTCATTTTATCTGACTATAATTTTGTATCCATTAACCATCCCTAATTCCCCTACACAACTGCTACTCTTCCCAGCCTCTGGTAACTATCCTTCTACTCTCTATCTCCATGAGTTCAATTGTTCTAATTTTTAGCTCCCACAAATCAGTGAGAACATGCAAAGTTTGTCTTTCGATGCCTGCCTTATTTCACTTAACAATGACCTCCAGTTCCATCCATGCTGTTGCAAATGACAGGATCTCATTCTTTTTATGGCTGAATAGTACTCCGTTGTGTATATGTACCACATTTTCTTCATCCATTCGTCTGAAAATGGACACTTAGGTTGCTTCCAAACCTTGACTATTGTGAATAGTTGCTACAATAAACATGTGAGTGCAGATATGTCTTTGATTTATTAATTTCCTTTCTTGGGGGTATATACCTAGCAGTAGAATTCCTGGATCATTTGATAGTTCTAGTTTTAGTTTTTTGGGAACCTCTAAACTGTTTTCTACAGTGGTTGTACTAGTTTACATTCCCACCAACAATGTACCAGGGCTCCCTTTTCTCCTCATCTTCACCAGCATTTATTATTTCCTGTCTTTTGGATAAAAGCCATTTTAACTAGGGTGAAATGATATTTTCACCCCAGTTTTGATTTGCATTTCTCTGTTGATCAATGGTGCTGCACACCTTTTCACATACCAGCTTGACAATTGTATGTCTTCTTTTCAGAAATGTCTATTCAGATCTTTTGCCCATTTTTGAATCGGATTATTCAATTTTTTTCCTGTTAAGTTGTTTGAGCTCCTTATATATCCTGGTTATTAGTCCTTTGTCAGATGGATAGTTTGCAAATATATTCTCCCATTCCATGGGTTGTTTTTGACTTTGTTGATACTTTTCTTGGCTGTGCAAAAGCTTTTTAACTTGATGTGATCCTATCAGTCCATTTTTGCTTTGGTTGCCTGTGCTTGTGGGGTATTACTCAAGAAATCTTTGTTCAGTTTAATGTCCTGGAGAGTTTCCCCAATGTTTTCTTCTAGTAGCTTCATAGTTTGAGGTCTTAGATTTAAGTCTTTAATTCATTTTGATTTGTTTCGTATATGCAAGAGATAGAGTCCAGTTTCATTATTCTGCATATGAATACCCAGTTTTCACAGCACAATTTTTGAAGAGACTGTTTTTTCCCTAATATATATTCTTGGCACCTTTGTTGAAAATGGGTTCACTGTAGATGTATGGATTTGTTTCTGGATTCTCTCTTCTATTCCATTGGTCTATGTGTCTGTTTTTTTAATGCCAGTATCAAGCTGTTTTGGTTGCTGTAGCACTGTAGTATAATTTGAAGTTAGGTAATGTGATTTTTCTAGTTTTGTACTTCTTGATTGGGATAGCGTTGGCTCTTCTGGGTCTTTTGTGGTTCCATGTAAGTTATAGGATTGTTATTCTGTTTCTGTGAAGAATGTCATTGGTATTTTGATAGGGATTGAATTGAATCTGTACATTGTTTTGGGTAGCATGAACATTTTAACAATACTGATTCTTCTAATCCGTGAACATGGAAAATTTTTCCATTCTTTTGTGTCCTCTTCGATTTCTTTCATAAATGTTTTACAGTTTTCATTGTAGATATCTTACTTCTTTGGCTAAATTTATGCATAAATATTTTATTTTGTTTGTGGCTCTTGTAAATTAGATTACTTTCTTGATTTATTTTTCAGATTGTCTGCTGTTGGCATATAGTAATGCAACGTGTTTTTGTGTTGATTTCATATCTTGCAACTTTACTGAATTTATCAGTTCTAATAGGTGTTTGGTGGTGTCCTTAGGTTTTTCCAAATGTAAGATTATACCATCTGCAAACAAGGATATTTGGCTTTTTAAAAAAATTCTATTTTTTAATCTTTTTTAAAAAGGTGTTACCTTTTCTTAGGATTACTTGCACTCTGCTTTGGAGCTCAGAAAAATCTCTCTCAAGGAGTTAATCTCTCTCTCCTTTTAAACATTTATTTTTGGTTCAGGGGTACATGTGCCGGCTTGTCATATAGGTAAACTTGTGTTATGGGGGTTTGTTGTAAAGATTATTTTATGACCCAAGTACTAAGCCTAGTTCTCAATAGTTATTCTTTCTGCTTCTGTCCCTCCTGCCACCCTCCACCCTCAGGTAGGCCTTAGTGTCTGGTGTTCCCCTCTTTGTGTCCATGTGTTCTCATCATTTAGCTCCCACTTATAAATGAGAACATGTGCTGTTTGGTTTAGTTTGACTTCCTGTCTTTTTATTTGGATGCCCTTTATTTCTTTCTCTTGCCTGATTGCTCTGGCCGGGACTTCCAATATGATGTTGAATAGGAATGGTGAGAGAGGGCATCCTTGTCTTATGCTGGTTTTCAAGGGGAATGCTTCCAGCTTTTCCCCACTGAGTATAATGTTTGGGTTTGTCATAGATGGCTCTTATTATTTTGACGTATGTTTCTTCACCACCTAGTTTCTTCAGAGTTTTTAACAGAAAGGAATGCTGAATTTTATTGAAAGCCTCTTCTTCATCTATTGAGATGATCATGTGTTTTTTGTCTGTAGCTCTCAAACAAGGATAACTTCACTTCTTCTCCAATTTGAATGCCCTTTGTTTGTCTTGTCTGATTGCTCCAGCTAGAACTTCCAGTAGTATATTGAATAACAGTGGTGAAAGTGAGTATCCTTGTCTTGTTCTAGATCTTAGAAGAAAGGCATTCAGTTTTTGTCCATTCAGTATGATACTAGTTGTATATCTGTCATTTATGGCTTTTATTATGCTGATGTATGTTTCTTCTATAGCTAGATTTTAAGTTTTTTTTTAATCATGAAGGGATGTTGAATTTTATCAAATACTTTTTCTGCATCAGTAGAAATGATTTTACAGTTTTTGTCCTTCATTCTGATGATATGATGTAGCACATTGGTTGATTTGCATATGTTGAACCATCCTTGCATCCCCGGGGTAAATCCCACTTGGTCATGATGAATGATCTGTTTAATGTGTTGTCAAATTCAGTTTGCTAGTATTTTGTTGAGGATTTTTTGCCTCACTATTCAATAGGGTTATTAGCCTGTAATTTGTTTTATGAGTCTTTGTCTGGTCTTGGTATCAGAGTAATAGTGGTCTCATAAGATTAGTTTGGAAGTATTCACTCATCCTCTGTTTTTCAAAATAGTTTAAGTAGGGTTGGTATTAGTTTTTCTTTAAATGTTTGGTAAAATTCAGCAGTGAAGCCATCGGTTTCCAAGCTTTTCTTTGCTGGGAGACTTTTCATTATGGTGTTGATCTCATAACTTGTTATTGGTCTGTCAGGTTTTGAATTTCTCCATGGTTCAATCCTAGTAGGTTGTATGTGTCTAGAAATTTATTCATTTCTTCAAAGTTTTCCAATTTATTGGCAAATAGTTGCTCATAGTAGCCTCTGATGATCCTTTGAATTTCCGTAGTATCAATTGGAATGTCTCCTTTTTCAAATCTGATTTTATTTATGTGGATTGTCTCTCTTCTTTTCTTAGTTTGGCTAAAGGCTTGTCATTTTTTTTTTTTTAAGAAACAGCTTTTAATTTCATTGTTCTTTTGTATTGTTTTCTTTTGTTTCTTCCAATTTCATTTGTTTTGCTCTGATTTTCAATATTTTGCTTTTTACTAAGTTTGCTCTTACTTTTCTAGTCCCTTAAGATGCATTATTAGGTTTTTTATTTAAAGTTTTTCTACTTTTTTGATGTAGGCACTTATTGCTATAAACTTTTCTCTTCATACTGCTTTCACCATATCCCATAAATTTTGGTATGTTGTGTTTCCATTATCATTTGTTTCAAGAAGGTGTCAATTTTATTTCTAATTTATTCATCGATCCACTGTTCATTCAAGTGCACACTGTTTAATTTCCATGTGTTAGTATAGTTTCCAAAATTCTCTGGTTATTGATTTCTAATTTTATTTTCTTGTGGTCAGAGAAGATATTTGATAGAATTTCAGTTTTTTTTTTTTTAAATTTGGATTTCATTGAGCTTTTCAAAACAGCTATTTTGAATTATCTGTCTGAAAGGTCACATATCTCTGTATTTTTGGGACTCTTTGTTTGATGAAGTCATATTCTCCTGGATTGTCTTGGTGCTTATGGATGCTTGTGGGTGTCTGGGCATTGAAGAGGTGGGTATTTATCATAGTCTTTGCAGTCTGGGCTTGTTTGTACTCATCCTTTTCAGGAAGACTTTCTAGGTATTTGAAGGGACTTAAGTGTTGTGGTCTAAGTCTTTGGTTACCACAGCTGTATTTATTTTAGGGGGCACACTAAGCTACCCAGTAATACTGTGGCTTTTGCAGACTCATAGAGGTACTGCCTTGGTGGTCTCGGATAAGACCCAGGAGAATTCCCTGGATTACCAGACAGAATCTCTTGTTCTTTCCCCTTACTTTCTTTGAAACAAATGGACTCTCCTTGTTTGTGATGAGCTGCCAGAAGCTGCAGGAGGAGTGACACATGCACCCCTATGGCCACCACCACTGTGCTGGGTCAGACCCAAAGCCAGCACAACACTGGGTTACACCCAAGGCCTGCAGTCACCACTGCCTGGCTACTGCCTATGCACACTCAAGGCCCAAGGGTTCTACAATCATCATGTGGCAAATCCAGCCAGGCTTGTGTCCTTCCCTTCATGGCCACAAGTTTACCTCAGTCCCAGTTGGGTCCAGAGATACCATCTGAGAGCCAGGTCCTGGAGTCGAGAACCTTAGGAATCTACCTGGTGCTTTTTCCTATTGTGGCTCAGCTTGGCACCAAAGCCACAAGATTCTTTTTCACTCTTCCCTCCTCTTTCCTCAAGCAGAGGAGTCTCTCTCCATGGCCACCACTGTCCAGGCCCATGGCAAGTACTGCCTGGGTACCACGGATGTTGACTCAAGGCCAAGGGAAGGGCACTTCAGTCAGCTTGAGGTAAATGTTGCCAGTGCTGAATCTCTCCCTTCAGGGCAGTGGGCTCCCCTCTGGCCAAGGGAAGGTCCAGAAATGCCATCCAGGAACCAAGGCCTGGAACTGGGGACCCCAGGAGTCCACTTGGTGCTCTATCCCACTGTGGTCAAGCTGGTGCCCAAGCTGTAAGACAAAGTCCCCTTTACCCTTTTCACTCCTTTCCTCTAGCAGAAGGGGTCTCTCTCCATAACCACCACAACTAGGAACGTTCTGGGTCATATCTGAGGCCAGCACCGCTCTGAGTCTCACCCAAGGCCCAGAACAAGTACTACTTGGGTATCACTGCTGATTATCCAGGGCCCAAGGGCTCTTTAGTCAGCAGGTGATGAATCCTGCTCAGACTGGTTTCTTCCCTTCAAGGCAGCAGGTTCCATTCTGGTCCAGGGTTTGTCTAAAAATGTTGTCTGGGAGCTAGGGCCTGGAATATGGGCCCCAGAACTCTGCCTGGTACCCTATCCTACTGTGGCTGACCTGGTATCCAAGTTGTAAGACAAATTCCTCTTTATTCTCCCCTGTGGTCTCCTCAAGCAAGAGTCTTTCCTGGAGCTGTGAGCTGTGCTGCCTAGGATTGGGGGAAGGGTGACACGAGCACCCCTCCAGCTTCCCCACCTGGTGTCTCACTAGGTCGGGTACCCTCCAAGTTCACTGGCTGTGAGCCCAGCACAGCATCAGGACTTGCTCAGGAATTACAGACCTTGTGACCTAGACTGCTATTCAAATTTATTTAGGACCCCAGAGCACTTTAACCTGTGATGGAGGGGTTGCCAGAACTCAGGTTTCAACTGCTGGGATGGATGATTTGCCTCTGGCTGCGGCTGGTCTAAATGCTCCCTCTGTGGGTGCTGGCTGAGTTCGGCCTGGAGTTCTGCTGTAACTGCACAGCACTGAGTTCCAAGTTCCAATACAAAGTCTCATAGCCACTGTGCTTTCCCTCTCCAAAGTACACAGATTCTCTGTCCACGCCATGTGGTCACTGCTGGGGGATAGGGGAGGGGTGTGTAGGTGATTGTTTTTCCTACCCTTTTCATAAGATGTTAATATGATTTCTTTAATATCAAGCTGATATTATGTTAAAACCAGGTATTGTTTTCCTAAATATGATATTAAAACCAGGTACAGGGATTACTCACCTGATTTTTGGTTCTTATGAAGATTTGTTTGTGTGTGGATAATTGTTCAGTTTGGTGTTCTTTCAGCGGGGACAGTTGCTGGAGGCTTCTATTCTGCCATCTTGCTCCACTTCCTCTGTCTGATTTTTTTAAGGCACTTCCTTCCTTTCTGGCACTGCAAAATACTCCAAGCTCATCTTGCATATTTCCTGTCTCAATCCTAGAATCAGCCATTACCTCAAGGAGTGCTGGTTTCTTTTTTTTTCTTTTTTCTTTTTGGAGATTGGTATTGGAAATCAAGATTTTGGATCTAGGTATGCTTATTGTTTCTTTTAGGCCTGTTTAGCTGACAGAGCAAAGAAATATGTGTATATGTTAACTGGTATACACATATCTATACATATCAATACTATGTAACCACAGGTATCTATATTAAGCTTCACATGAATTCTTATTAATGTTCCCAACTTTAATTCATCACCACATCAATCATTCTAGCCTCCACCCTTGCCTATTTGTAAGTTCCCGCTCCAAGAATGAGGAGCCTGGCTCCTACCATCTGCCATCTGTTTACTTAATTGTTCAATTTCTGTTTATATGTATAGCAGTACCAGAATTGTTAACTTAGACAATAGATTTTTCTTTTAGGTTTTTTTTTTTTCTTGACTGTGTTGGTAGTAACCATAGAAATGACAACATGCATACCTAACATAAAAAAATCAAAATTTAATACATTTTTTTACTCCATGATACACCTTAGAATATTTCAATATCAGTTATCCCTTGCCCATATTACTGTTATATGGTGTTATAACTCTTCATGTATGCATGTTTGTGTGTATGCATGTGTGTGTGTGTGTTTCACTAGGCATTAAGTTTATATTTACAGATATGTGTATAACTTTCCTTGCTCTCCATTCCCTTTTAAGTCTCAGCTGTCTATCTCGGATCATTTCCTTTTGCTTGAATGGTATCTTTTAGAATTTCCTTCAGTGAGGGTCTTTTGGTCATGAATTTCAATTTTAGCTTGTTTGAAGAGTTTTTATTACATTGTCATTTTTGAAAAATAATTTTACCAGGTATGGAATCTTACGTTTGTACTAATCGAAAATAGCTTTCTACTGTGTTCTGGCTTTCATTGTTGTTGTTGAGGTCAGTTATCTATTCACTGCTGTACTTTGAGGGAACTCTATCTTTATTTCTTTCTATAAATTTCTTGGTTTTGGTTATTTTTTGGTCACATATTTGATATGCATATAGATGTGGATTTATTATTATTTATCCTACTTGAATTTTCAGAGCCTGCTTATATGTATTGGTTTCATGTATCAGTTCTGAAAAAAATCTCAGATGCTATTTATTCCATTTTTTCTTTCTTCTCCTTCTGGGAATCTAATCACTTTAGGCTTTATATCTCTCTTATCTGTCTTTGTATTATATCTGGAAAATGTCATCTTCTCTTTTAATCTGTCTTCAGTTATGTTAAATCTGCTGTCCAATGTAACCACTGAGCTCTTAAATACTTTTATTATATATTTTATATCCAAATTTTCTGTTTGTTTTTTTCAAATCTACCATATTACTCTTTATTGTTTCCTACTACCATTGAATATTTTCAAGCTTGCCTTTTATCTCTGTAGACAAAATAATTACGGTTGTTTTATAATTAATGTGTAATTTAGCTGTCTATTTCTTCTGCTTGTTTTCTTTCATGTTGTCTTTCTTCTTTATGCGCTTGACAACTTGCTTGTCATTGCCCTTGAAAATTATTTGTTCAGATTCCCTGAGGTCAAGGATGATTGTGCCTTCTGGCTTCCCTCCAGAGTGCCTCAGAAGCTTGAGGCTTCCTGGCCTACTCCAGCCTACGCATGCCTGTGATGTAGGGGTACAGGAGATGGGTTTTGGTGTGGTTTGCCCCTATTTTTAGGGGTCATGTTTAATGAGAAAGGACTCCTGTAATTATCCCCTCTTTGGGCAGGTTTTGGGCCCGACCTTCTGCACTCTTGTTCTGTGAAGCCTTGGGCCCAGAGTACAAACAGTTGGTATTGGCGAATAGCCTCATGGAAAATGCTGCAGTCGTCACAGCTGTGAGAATGCATTGTATAATATTTGTATTCTGATATTTTTCTGTTAACACTATAACTTAATTGCTTTACATATATTCTGTGTCCTGATATATTCCTGTTATTATTAGATTATTTTCTAGTGTTATCAAAAGCTATTTTTTATCTTCAGATGCTTTCAATCACATTAATAACTTGAACGAATTGTTTTCAACACAATTATCTGCTATCAGTAAATCCCAATTATCTTTTTAGCTCCTTTATGATAGACAAATTAGAATATTAAAAATCGCAAAATTTCAAGTTAGAAATGAAGACTAGAAAATGAAATACCATAACTATCATAGGCAAGTAACAACAACAAAAAAAACTGCAACAGTATGTCAGTTTCAGGTAAGACTAGTGAAGAAGAGAAATAGATAGGAAGAGTGTTAAGGTCTGCGTAGGTCAGTACCCGGGTTCTGATTTCTACACTGCCCTTTGTATTCTAGCTAGGAACTTCTGCTTATTTTCTCTTGCGAGACTAAAGCTAGCACTCATCAGGGAATAATTCCTGCTCTAATAAGAAACATATATAACTCCCCTGGCCAGTCCTCCTTCACTTCTAAAAGGAGTGTAAATTGCTACAGCTATTCTGAAGATCAATTTGACAATATTTAGTGCAATTAAGTGTGCATATGCCCTGCAACCCAGCAATTTTACTTTTGAATAGAGTTGCCAGAGACACTCTTACACCAGCAGAGAAATACATGTATATGAGAATGTTTGTAGAGCGAAAACCTGGAGGAAGCCCGACTGTTCATCCCTAGAAGAATGGATAAATAAAATATGACATGTGTGTATACCAGAATGCCTTATAGCAGCCAGGAGGAGTGAAACAGATCTACAAATAGCAACATCTCAAATACATCATGTTAAATGACAAAAAGGAAGAAACAGAATAATATCCATAGCTATAGCTTTATCATCATCGTTTGCTCCTAACAAACCATCCCAAAAATATTGGTTTAGAGTAATTGTTTATTAGCACAATAGTTTGGGCTGGGCAAAGCAAAGCAGTTCTGCTGGTCTCTCCTGGGCTCACTTGTGCCCCTGAGGTTGGTTGGCACTTAAAACAATGGTCCCTGGGTATTCTAATATGGCTTACCCACCCAACTAGCTATTGCTTCTGGTTATTCATGTCTGGGAGGGCTTCATACCTGCAGCAACTAACAGGCTAGCTTGGCCTTTCTCACACAGTGGCGGAAAAGTTGTCAGCAGTGAAAGAGAGAAAGCTCCAATGTACAAGATATTATTGTTTTCTTGGACTATGTTTGCTAATGTTCCTTTGTCCAGAGCAAGTTCTGCGCCAAGCCTGGAGCCAGTGACAAAGGGTGTGTGAGCATCTAATGTGGTGCGTGGTTAGTTGGTTGCAGCAATCTACTACGATAGCATGATACTTTTTATGAGTTGCATTTTGTCCCTTCCCTGCAAACTCATGTTAAATCCCTAACCCTTAGTACCTCAGGATGTAACCATATTTGGAGATGAAGTCTTTAAAAAAGTAATTAAGTTAAAATGAGGACTTTAAGGTGGAGTAAACATTGAATTTTTATCTAGCACGACTGGTGTCCTTATGAGAAAAGGAAATTTGAATATACAGAGAAGCACCAGGGGTGTGCATGGGTAGAAAAAGACTATGTGAGGATGGAGTGAGAAGGCAGCCACTTCTGAACCAAGGAGAGGGGTCTCAGGAGACATCAACCCTGACAACACCTTGATCTTGGACTCCCGGCCTCCAGAACTGTGGCAAAATATATTTCTGTTGTTTAAGCCATTCAGTCTGTGGTATTTTGTTACGGCAGCTCCAGCAAACTAATATAATGCTATTTATGTAAATTTAAAAAGTTCAGGCCTGGCGCGGTGGCTCACACCAGTAATCCCAGCGCTTTGGGAGACCGAGGCAGGTGGGTCACAAGGTCAGGAGTTCGAGACCAGCCTGACCAACATGGTGAAACCCCATCTCTACTAAAAAAATATGAAAATTAGCCAGGCATGGTGGCATGTGCTTGTAATCCCAGCTACTCGGGAGGCTGAGGCAGGAGAATTGCTTGAACCCAGCAGGTGGAGGTTGCAGTGAGCCGACATTGTGCCACTGCACTCCAGCCTGGGCAGCAGAGTGAGACTCTGTCTCAAAAAAAAAAAAAAAAAGTTCACCCACAAGCCATACTATGCATTTTCCATAGATACAAAGGTAATTGAATAAACATATGTGTATATGAGAAGCATGCAAACATGAGGGTGAAGGTGCTTATGAGAGGGAGAGAATGGGATTGGAGTGAGAAATAAAGTGGAAAATAATTTAGAAAGAGGGCCATGGATGGACAGATGATAAGAGTATACCATGTACTGCGCAAGGTGACCAATTCAAATCTGTGTACCTGAGTTCTAAAAACAGGATAAAGTAAAATAAAAATAATCTCTTCTGGCTGAGGCAGAGTTGGTTTCCTTACCAGTATAAGATCTATTTTTAAAACCTAATATTATTGAATACTCCTGTATGATAGACTCTCTTATATCCTTTAACCTTTTACAGGAGATACCATTGCTCCCATTTATAGGAGAGGAAACTGAGGCAAAGGTAACTTAAACACACTAGCCGCAGGTGCATAGTGAGTAAGCGGCTGGGCAGATGGTTGAGCTCCAATCTGACTGCTTCCCAGCCTGGGCCTTGGCAGTTTCATCTGATCATCCCTTACTTAGCCACTTGTGTCTCTTCAGTTGCTTAGGCCTGCTCTTTGAGTCTGGAATCAGACACAACCTTGCCTGTGGTTGCTGGTCATGTTTCTCAGTCATTGCTTTTGTCACCCTGTCTTGTTTTCTGCTGTTTGCCTAGTTCTCATTTGCAGCCTAGCTCTTCCTAGGTGCAGGCCTGGCTCCTCCAACTTGCTTCTTCCTCTCATGGTAGGCTCCAAGGTTGTACCCGTAACAAGGCATGAAAAGGTCAAGAAGGCTGAGAGCAGAAGAGCATAGCCAAGAGTAGGCAGAAAGAGGCATAGGATCAATCCTTGACTTCCTCATTTGTGGGCACTTTGAAATGCAGGTGGCCATATTTCAAATATAATACCTAGTGAGAACGGATTGTTAAGTACAGAACAATTTTACAAGTCGGTTACCGGTAGTTTGAAATTGGCCCTGGTTGGGGTGTTTACACCACAGAAACTGGTAAATGTGGCAAATCAGGACTTGTATTTTGGAGAGTTGGTTTATCAGAACACCAATGAATAGAATATCCACCGGCTATAAAAATGCATTTAGGTTAAAGGACATAAAACAAGTGTCCCATGTTGTGGAGTCAGAAGACCGGAGCTCAAATCAAAAACTTTACAACGTTCTTGCCAAGTGATAAAGAGCAAATTATTTTATTTTACGCTAGCTTTGGTTACCTTAGCTTTTAAAGAGGAATAATAATACCTACCTCACTGAAATGCTGTGGAAATTTAAAAAATACATGAAAAAATTGAGCATTGTGCACAAAATAAGCACTTGAAAAATATTAGCTGAATTTGCCCAAGGAGCAAAGTATAGTTAATAAACCCACCCATAATGCTTTCAGGAAATGCAAATAATCATAGTATTTATGAATGTTTACCATATGCCAGATATTGTCTTTTTCATGTGTTGGTTTCCTTCAACTTTTTTAGGTAGGCACTATTCTTTGTCACCATTTCAAAGAGCATAAAATGCACAGAGCTATTTGTTGACAGGGGTTGGGTCTGTCAGATTTCAAAGTCAGTCCTCTTAACCATCCATGCTGCTGGTAAAGGGTGATAAATGCTAAATGACCATAATGCATGCAATAAACACTATTACATGTGGTATGGGCGTCTGCCTTGTTCAATTAGGTGTGAGGTCATCTGGAAAACAGCACCCTTTGTATCAATTAATGTGGAATGAGAGCTCTGTCGACCCCTCAGGGGCTGCCTGGTATTTTGCCAGAAAGTGTGCCATAAATCGTGGGTCATGTTTTATGCAGGGCAGTCACTTTTCTTTTTCCATCCTGTGGGTATTAGGATCTTACTGGAAGAGTTTCTAACAGTCTTCAGCTAAACCAACTCAATGCCCAATTCTCATTCAAGGATCTTATTAACAGACCTTTGATATGGCAACGATACTCCACTATTAGAGCCTGGGCCAGTTCCTTTAAAGAATGTGTAGTAAAGTTACTGATTTCATCCCAATCACCTTACTTAATCAATTATGCTGTTTCTAGGCCATTAGAAGATCTCAATTTAAAAAATCTATCCATGCTGCATTTCAAATATGAGCGAATATATTTTTTCTCTTCTGATATTTTCCCTTCTATCTGGTGTCCTGCAGAGCAGAGGTAATGCAAGACGCTTCCTCTTTTTCTTTCATGGAAAAGAAACCTGGAAAATGAATTTTATTTCATTACCATTTATGTTTATTTATTCAGCAGCTAATTTATTCCTGTTAGAAGAGATGCATCTCTTTTTTCCTTCCTTCTCTTCCGTCCACCCCTCTCTTCCTTCTCTTTCTTTGCTCCTTCCTTCTGTCTTACCTACCTTTTTTCCTTCCTTCCTCTCCTCCTTTCCTTCTTTTTCTTTCCCTCTTTCTCTCTCTCTTTCTTGCCTTAATCCTTTCTTTCTCTTGCCTTTATAAAATGACTTAAATAATAGATCATGGTAAGGCACTGTCTGAGAAACTTCACTAATTTTGGGGAAATTGCCAAAGCAACTCTCATTCTACTGAGAATAAAACAACTTTAAAAATCTGTTTCTACCGCAGAGTTTATCAGATGTTGAGAGGAAACTTGACATGAAAGTAGAGTCTTAAAATAACCTAGTTACTGAATAGTGTTTCCAAATCACCTTTTACGTGTATAACTCAGGCAATTCTGGGAGTTCTTTCTTTGGTGCTTCTCTGTGTGTGTGTGTGTGTTGTGCACACATACACTCCTGAGAGGTTCTGAGGACTGATTTAAAATGTCTGAGAAGCACTTGAAGAACCAAGAGGTGATTTTAAGGAGAACCATAATTTATTTTTCTTTTTAAAGAACGTTCAAAAGAATTGAGAGGGTGAGGAAGGAGGCTGGAGCACAATTCTAATTAGAGAGAGAGAGACAGACCCTATAACCCCCCAGCTGCAGGAGAATGAATGTGAGCTTTGGGGTGGAGCAAGCATGGGGCTGGAGTGGGAAGATGTGGAAGTATTTGCCACTCCTCAAGGGATGACACCATATCCCTTTTTCTTGAGGTTTTCTTTGTTCTTGCTGTTGTTGGTTTCATGTGATAATTCATGACACATGGAGAATAAGCCATGATTTGACTCTTTTTTCATTAGACTAGGAAACTTTATTATAGTAAATGCTGAGTTAAGAGTCTGGTCATTGGAGAAACTGGAATCCTGGTTTTACCTCTTGCTAGCTGTGCAAATCCAGGCAAATTATTAACCTTACAAGCCTCAATCTCTGCATCTGGGAAATGAGACTGCTCGGTATCTTCATATGGAGATTAAATAAAATGATGCCCCAAAATTCCTTTGTACAAGTACCAGACACTAAAGAAGGGCTTAATAAATGTGAGTTGTCTATTTTATTTTAATAATTTTTATAAATTCTTTAAAAATTTTTTAATTTAATTTAATTTTGTTTTATTTTATTTTTTTTGAGACAGAGTCTTGCTCTGTCATCCAGGCTGGAGTGCAGTGGTGCAACCTTGGCTCACTGCAACCTCCACCTTGCAGGTTCAAGCAATTTCTCCTCCCTCAGCCTCCCAAGTAGCTGGGACTACAGGCATGTGCCATCATGCCTGGCTAATTTTTTTTTTTTGTATTTGTAGTAGAGACAGGGTTTTGCCATTTTGGCCAGGCTGGTCTTGACCTCCTGACCTCAGGTGATCCATCCTCCTTGGCCCCCCAAAGTGCTGAGATTACAGGTGTGAGCCACTGTGCCTGGCCATTTTTTTTTTTAAATTATGATATACCAGTTTTTTTCAGATTTTTGCTCGGATATCTTTTCAGAGAGCCTTTTCCTGGCCGTAAAGACAGAACTTAGGCAATGCTGACTGCATGCCTTCACTGGAGCTCAAAACATGTTGCTTTGCAATCTGTCTGTTTTCCTGTCTTTTTTCAGTACCCCGAATTCTCTTGACCAGGGGGAATGCTGGGAGTATTGTTCATATTGGTATGTGACTGACAAATACCTAGCCCAATATCTACACATATTGTTTCTATTATTGTTCATATTGGTATGTGACTGACAAATACCTAGCCCAATATCTACACATATTGTTTCTATTTGTTCCTGAGATATTTACTGAGTGCTTGCCATGACCAGATGTTGTGCTAGAACCAGGCACATAATGGCGTACAGACCCTATCTTTTTTAAGAAGCTCACAGTCTAGTGAGGGATATGGATAAACAGCCAATAAAAATATAGTGTAATAAAAGAGAAGTTTACTTACTTTTTTATACTTAGAAGAGGTCAGAGAAGGCTTCCTGGAAGAAAAACTAATATTTAAAACAATGCATGTGTATCTGTGAGAACTTGGCGGGGGGTATTTCTTTAAGTTTTTCCAAAAACAACCTGAGAAAAGGATTTGGGTATAAGTAATTTATTTGGGAGGTGCTCCCGGGAGGCAGAATTAAGAGAGTGAGGAGAGAGAGGGAGGAAAGGAAGAAAAGCCAGGAAAAGGTGCATTGTTGAACTGGGTACTTCTTTTGGCAAATGTGAAGTAGAGCACCCTTTAAATTTTCCCTTTGAAGCCCCAGAGACTGGGGCATTTATCTACTTGACTGACTCCTCTATTGGAGGAGAGTTACTTCCAGAGGCATTAACCCTCTTACGTTCCTGGCTCTGCACAGAGGCTGAGCAGGCTGCCTCGGCTTCAGAAACCATTTAAGGCAGAAAGTGGAGGAAAGTGTGTGAAAGGAAAGAGGGTGCAGTGGGAACTGTCCAGCAGAGCTTTGGCTGAAATCACTTCAAGCTGACCATGTACAATACGGAGGGCCTTGGCCATCTCCCCATTAAGTTAAAAAAATAAAGTGCCTTGCCCCTAAAACTCATGGACAGACTTCCTGGATTCAAGACATCTTAAGAGCTATGAAAACCATCTTAGATATGCCTGCAGACTCCCACAACTGCCTATTGTCAGGGCTCAGTGTGGTTTACTTCTGTAATTACATGACAATTATAATTGGGAAATAAAGCATCAGTAACATAAATGTGTAATATATTCATTGAATGTGTTTCATTAAAACATTTTCAGAATAAATTCTAGGACTTTGAAACTAAAATGTGTTTTATATTCTCTCAAATCCTGATTTATCTCTGCCTCTTACCATGCCTTATCAATCATCAGCCCCCTGAGGAAGCAACTGATATTGCTTCCTGAAAAAATAACCACTCTTTTCTTAGCAGGAGAACAAGTAGTCTAAGGGAAAAAGAAGAATAGAATGCATATAAGTTATCTGAAGCATGCACAGTTGATGGCCACAGTTTCCTCCTGGAGATGTGGAGGGAAGGAAGTGTACCTCTAAGATCCCTACCGCTTAGGTTTCAGAAGAGATTGAACAGAATCCTGAGCTCCACAAATAATTATTTCCAAAAGAATGGCTAGCTTTTTTTTTTTTTTTTTAGATGGAGTCCCTCTCTGTCGCCCAGGCTGGAGTCAATGGTGCGATCTCGGTTCACTGCAACCTCTGCCTCCCGGGTTCAAGTGATTCTCCTGCCTCAGCCTCCTGAGTAGCTGGGATTACAGGCATGTGCTACCACACCCAGCTGCTTTTTTTGCATTTTTAGTAGAGATAGGGTTTTGCCATTTTGGCCAGGCTGATCTTGAACTCCTGGCCTCAGGTGATCTGCCTGCTTCTGCCTCCCAAAGTGCTGGGATTATAGGCGTGAGCCACCACCCCCGGCCTATTCCTGTTAAGGTTTATAAACTTCCCCAAATATGAATCTTCTCTTCAAACTACTTTATCCGTAAGAATTGTGATTCTCTTGTGTGGTAGAAAGTGCCTGTGTTTTGGTGACAGACAAACCTCCACATTCTGGCTCTGTTAATTTCAAGCTCCTTGACCTCAGGCTAGACATTTAATCTCTTTGAGTCTGCATTTCCTCATCCTCAAAGAGGGAAAGGGAAATAATACCTATTTTACAGTTTCGTTGCAAGGATTAAATGAGGTGATATCCGTTAAACGCCGGTTGAAGGTCAATATTTACTAATGTCAGTTCCTTCCTTCTTCCCTTAGCTAAGGGGTCATGAAGCAGTGCTGGATTCCCTCTGCAAGCTGAGTCCACGTCCTTTGGGGATAGCTGTCACCTATAGTATAGTCATCATGGTGGAGTCTCCAAAGCTTTGAGAAGCAGGCATAAATTCATTTTATTTATTTACTGGGTTTTAAAAGTTATCTTACTTGCTAGACAATTTATTATTTGCATATTAGACTTTCATTAGTTAAACGTTCAATGGACTGTCCTCTCCTAAAATAAATAGAATATGGGGCTGGGTGCAGTGGCTCATGCATGTAATTGCAGCAATTTGGGAGGCCGAGGTGGGTGGATCACCTGAGGTCAGGAGTTTGAGACCAGCCTGGCCAACATGGCAAAACCCTGTCTCTATTAAAAATACAAAAATTAGCCGGGTGTGATAGGGCGTGCCTGTAATCCCAGGTACTCAGGGGGTTGAGGCAGGAGAATTGCGTGAACCTGGGAGGCAGAGGTTGCAGTGAGCTGAGATTGTGCCACTGCACTCCAGCCTGGACAACAAAGCGAGACTCTGCCTAAAAAAGAATTAAAAAAAAAGACTGGAAATGATTGGAAACAGATCCTCCTAATGGTCACCCAGAAAAAAAGGAAACAAAGGCTACAGGCACACAATTGATGGAAAATAAAAGCCAAATGGTCAATAAATATATGAAACGATGCTCAATTTTATGAGGAATCATGCAAGTGAAAATAAATATGAGATATCATTTGAAATCCATCAATTTGCAAAAGCATATGTAAGACTGACCATATTGACAGACTGTGAGGCAGTAGAACAATGGAGTTCCCCATGCAGTGCTGGTGGGTGTGCAAATCGCTCTGTCAGCGGGAGAGCAGTTAGGCAGTGTGTGGAAAGTTGGAGACAGACCCACCCTTTCATTGAGCAGTCATGATTTTAGGTACACACTCTGGAGAAACTCACATGTGTCCAAGGACATCTGTGAGCCTGTTGCTAGCAACACAAAACCAAGGGAGGGGCAATCTAAATGTCCAGCAAGAAACTTGGTTCAATATATTTTAGTTCTTTTTCAAGCTAGAATACTGTTCACATGTTAAAAGAATGAGCTATAACAACATGTATCAGCACAAAAAATCTCTAAGGTGTACTGTTTTATTAAAAGCACGTCACGACATTTTCATGTGTATACACAAATCCAAGGATGTTCATGGATGTTTACTGCACCAGTATTACAATTGTGCAGAATTGGAGACAACTTAAATATCTGCCAACGGGAGAATTGATCCATAATTGTGGCAGATTCATAACACGGATTATTGAATGGCAGCTGAATTAAATTAGGACCGTTACCTCCATATGGATAAATATCAGATGCAGAAAGAAATATGTACATTTTTAAAAAGTTAAGAGGATGCAAAATAATACTAGGTATTGTTTAGCACATATATATGTATTTATATTAATGATATCTATCTATCTGTGTGACTAAATGATAAGGAGAAACATTGGTGGGCAAAACCAACATGGACTCTTTGTCTTGGAGAATGTAGAAAGGGAAGGGAATATAATGGGGTTAGGACAGAAGCGTTTTACCTATCTGAAATATTTCTTAATGAAAAATGGAAAATAAGGGTTCTAATGTGAGAGAAGTATGACTCTTCCAATTTAGATAGCATTTTATTTATAAAATAAAATTACCATTTAAAAAGTAAATTTTCTTATGTTTTTCCTTCCATTAGCTACAAGATCTAGGCAAGAAATGGCAAACCTGGTGTTTCTTCACCTTGGACTTTTCTCAGTATCTCTGTGCCTGTTTCAGTCATGAGCAAAGTTCAATGACAAACCAAGGAAATGGGCCAAGCCGGTCTGGAGACTGATGCTCCAAACAGCTGCCAGCACACGTACCTCTCCTGTCTGCTCCAATCACTCGATTCTCATTTCCCCATAAGCCCCTTCGCCTCCCTCAGCAGCCCCAGGACTCCCCGTGACTCTGTGATCTCCACAATCACTAGTGAAGGCTAGGACAACAACAAGCTTTTATCATCATATTCACCCCTTGCCAACAAAGCTGAATGGTGCCCAGTTCTTTGAAACTTTCCTTTAGTCCTTGCCGCTGTGATGGATGAGCCTTCTCATCATGTGCTTTGTTTTAAGCTACCACAGATCCAAACGCTAGTCTCTGCAGATGAGAAAAGACAGGGGCAAATACATTTACTTTATGAGGTTGTTCACAGTCCATAAAACATTCAGTTGAAAAAGGATTTTTTTTTTTCAGACAGAGTCTCACTCTGTCACCCAGGCTGGAGTGCAGTGGCACAATCTCGGCTCACTGCAACCTCCACCTCTTGGGTTCAAGCGATTCTTCTGCCTCAGCCTCCTGAATAGCTGGGATTACAGGTGCCTGCCACCACGCCTGGCTAATTTTTGTATTTTCTCTTCAAATCAAAATTAATAGCAGAAGAGGAAGATGAGAAGTTGGATACACTCTTCAAAGAAGCTCCTCGGATAAGGATTTAGGATTCAAAACTCTGTGCCTCTGGTGTTTTTTCAAAACAGCAGACTTCCTTTTCTTAAATTATTCTTTGTTTTTGCTTTCTTAAATTATTTCACCATTTTTCCCCTCTAAATAAGAATTGAAAAAAATGGAAAGAAAAGAGTCAAGAATAAGGAGAGTATGTCACATTGCATGCCTATATCAAAACATCTCATGTACCCCATGAATATGTATACCTGCTATGTACCCACAAAAATAAAAGTAAAATAAAATATAAAGAAAACAGGAGTGGAAGTAGAAATAAAACAAGAGGGAGAAATTAATTACCAACTTGGGAGAAAATAGAAACCATGTGTAGAAGCAAGTTTCATGTTTGCCTTACTTGGTTTTCTTCTGTGGGAACAAGACAAATGGAAAAGTTCCAGAGAATTCACCCTGGAAGTGAACATTCCCATCTTCTCTGAAAACTTACCTGCAAATGGCTTTTACAGCCTTTTCCTGAGAATGCAGAGATCAGTACTCCCAGAGGTAAGACCACATTAGCAATGGAAGGGTGGGGGAAGTCACAGTGTTTAAAAAGTCCTTCTCCTTGCGATAGTTTGCTGAGAATGATGGTTTCCAGCTTCATCCATGTCCCTACAAAGGACATGAACTCATCATTTTTTATGGCTGCATAGTATTCCATGATGTATGTGTGCCACATTTTCTTAATCCAGTCTATCATCATTGGACATTTGGGTTGGTCCTGCACGTTGTGCACATGTACCCTAAAGCTTAAAGTATAATAATAATAAAATGAAATTAAAAAAAAAAGAAAAAGTCCTTCTCTTACATTGATAACATTTCAGTCCATTCTTAACTCTGCTTTTGCTTACTCGGTGAGGCTTTGGTTCTATGACCATAGGTAAATGTCCCCTCCAACCCCTTGCCTTCTGTTTGTAACATTTGTTCTCCAGCTGTTAGTGACAGAATCTTGCTTTAACAGGAAGCATGGGGTAGGGCAGGAATTTCTCATCACACTGAGGGTGCGTATCTTGTGTGCACGTGTGCAGAAGTATGTGCTTTGTTTGCTTCTGAGATTTTTGAGGGTGAGCATATGATCAAAAGCCAGACATAAAAGTGTTAAGTGAGTTGCCTGTGATTTTGAGTTATCTCATGTCAGCTTTCCTTTCTCAAGGTACTGAAAGAAGACACGTTTCACTGCTTTCTAAAGAACTTCTGACTGGGCATGAAGGAGTGAACCAACTGATCAGGAAATTGCCAGTCTTCAAAAGGCCTCATTGCCAGTGGAAAGAGGAGAAACAGAAAAAAATGACCCTGCAGAAAGCAAATGCTCTGATGATTCATGCATTATTTGCAATTTTTTTGAATAAGAGCTAAAAACTAAACACTACTTGAGGCTGGGAATTTCTCTGGGGGAAAGAATAAAGAGTTATTTCCCTCTCAGGACAACACCTAATATTTGCACAGCACGGTAAAGTAATTTTCACAAGTATTATTTTGTTTGTGCATTTTCATCCTCAGGCTGAATTAAGCCTCAGTTTTCATTTTTGATTGAATCTGTCTTTGCTGATAGAAGTTTTCTGGGTGACCCAGACAGTCCTCAGTATGAGATAATGTGATGGAGGATGCAGTGAATCAATCACGTCTCTGCTGGAATTGCTTTCTGGAGACTTTGAGATGTCAGGGTTGAAATGTCACACAGGAGGTCACTGGGCTGGTAGATAACTGGAGATATGACTCCATGAAGGCATTGCTTATCCATGTTCCAAGCATATCTGGCTTCTTTTGAGAGGTAAATAGGGATGGATGAAGAGGAGGAGAGTTAGTCCTGAATTTGTACCCTGGCTCTGCCACTTACCAGCTCTACTGCTCTTGCTAGGGAGATCATGTTAACATATTAACGCCAATAATAATCACTGAAGGTTATGAGTCCTATAAAGTAAGTAGCATTCGCCCTATTTTATAGAAGAGGATACAGCATCAGAAAAGTTAATTGCTTTCCCTAAGTTCCCTGGGCACATTTATTTCTTTATTTTTATTTTTTCATTATACTTTAAGTTCTGGGGTACATGTGCACAACATGCAGGTTTGTTACACATGTATACATGTGCCATGTTGGTGTGCTGCACCCATTAACTCGTCATTTACATTAGGTATTTCTCCTAATGCTTCCCACCCACCTCCCCCACCTCATGACAGGCCCCGGTGTTTAATGTTCCCCACCCTGTGTTCAAATGTTCTCATTGTTCAATTCCCACCTATGAGCGAGAATATGTGGTGTTTGTTTTTCTGTCCTTGTGATAGTTTGCTCAGAATGATGGTTTGCAGCTTCATCCACATCCCTACAAAGGACATGAACTCATCCTTTTTCATGGCTGCATAGTATTCCATGGTGTTTATGTGCCACATTTTCTTAATCCAGTCTATCACTGATGGACATTTGGGTTGCTTCCAAGTCTTTGGTATGGTGAATAGTGCCACAATAAACATACGTGTGCATGTGTCTTTATAGCAGCATGATTTATAATCCTTTGGGTATATACCCAGTAATGGGATTGCTGGGTCAAACGGTATTTCTAGTTCTAGATCCTTGAGGAATCTTCCACAGTGGTTGAACTAGTTTACAGTCCCACCAACAGTGTAAAAGTGTTCCTATTTCTCCACATCCTCTGCATCACCTGTTGTTTGCCGACTTTTTAATGATCGCCATTCTAACTGGTGTGAGATGGTATCTCATTGTGGTTTTGATTTGCATTTCTCTGACGGACGGTGATGATGAGCATTTTTTCGCGTGTCTGTTGGCTGCATAAATGTCTTCTTTTGAGAAGTGTTTGTTCATATACTTCGCCCACTTTTTATGGGGTTGTTTGATTTATTCTTGTAAATTTGTTTAAGTTCTTTGTAGATTCTGGATATTAGCCCTTTGTCAGATGGGTAGATTGTAAAAATTTTCTCTCATTCTGTAGGTTGCCTGTTCACTCTGATGGTGGTTTCTTTCGCTGTGCAGAAGCTCTTTAGTTTAATTCGATCCCGTTTGTCTATTTTGGCTTTTGTTACCATTGATTTTGGTGTTTTAGTCATGAAGTCCTTGTCCCTGGGCACATTTATTAGCTGAATGCAAACTCAGGCTTTGTGATGCCACACCCTGTGAGTACTCCATCACATCATCACTGTCTTCCCCAAATGGGTGTGGCCATATAATTGGACGCAAGAGAGACCCATTGTTAAGGAATGTCAGCCACATCAAGAAGTGGTTTGAGCTCCCAGCATACTGCCCAAAAGTAAAGCTCACAGGTATTCTGTTGAGTGGTTTGCATAACTAAAAAAGACGGGGTGATAGTGCTTTGATGTTGGCCAATAACAACAAGACCCTTCTGTTCTCTTTTGTCCTATATTCTCTCTCAAATTCTGTGCTCTGATTAGTGGCTGAATCTCTTGTTTCTACCAAATGATTTAATTCATGTAAACAAGCATATTTTTATGTAGCATTGCCTCTGCCTCTGAAAACTTAGGGAAGTAACATCGTTCCAATTATTGGTTAAAAAAAGGGAGAGCAGAGCCATCTTCCATAAGATTATTGGAGAGATTACTGTGACAATGTGTTTATAGTGCTTAACACAGTGCTGGGACAGAATAGCACCTGTTTTCAGTCATAACTATTATTGGTGCAGTTTGAAACTAGCTGTGCTTGCAAGTACATCACTTGGCCTCAAACCTTCACAACTAGCTGCCAATGTATCTGCAGCAACACCCAGCTCCAATGCACACAATTTCTAAAGTGTCTGACGTCAGGGTTTTGGATGTGATGATTGCTCACTTCTTTCTCTTTCTCAGAATGGTCTCTCCTTTCTTTTCCCATGACTACTGGCATTTTTAAGATAAACTAATTTAAAAATGCAAAGCACTCTTGTCTCAAAAGCACCATAAGTATAAAACAATAATGTCAGACTCATCTTGGGAACCATATCATACCCTCTCTAAAGCCAAATATCTGCTTATTCAGGTCCAACCTCCACTGAGAGGCAATGAGAGTTAAGCCCCATGCCCATGTCTCTGGGCCTGTTCAATCTTAGAAGAGAACTTCCTCCCTGTGATTCCCAGGGCAGACAGTGCTTAATTAGTTCTAATGAACATGGAACAGTCAGCCCCTTCTTGTCCCTGAGATGTGGCCCAGGGGGTTAACCTCCCATCTCCTAGTTAATCACCTTCATCTTCAGGCTGAGTTAAGCCTCAATTTTCATTTTTGATTGAGTCTGTCTTTGCTGACAGAAGTTTTCTGGGTGACCCAGCAAGTCCTCAGTATGAGATAATATGGTGGGAGATGCAGTGAATCCATGTCTCTGCTGGACTTTTGGAGACTTTGAGATGTCAGGGTTGAAATATCACAGGAAGTCACTGGGCAGGTAGATAACTGAAGAAATGGCTTCATGAAAGCATTGCTTATCTCTATTCCAAACATATTTGGCTCCTTTTGAGAGGTAAATAAGGATGGAGGAAGAGGAGGAGAGTTAGTCCTGAATTTGTACCCTGGCTCTGCCACTCACTAGCTCTGCTGCTTTTGCTAGGGAGATCATGTTAACATATTAACGCCGATAATAATCACTGAAGGTTATGAGTCTTTTATATCCTTACTACCCAAAATGTGGTCCTTGGGCCAGCAGCATCAGTGTTTCCTGGATGCTTGCAAGAAATGTAGACTCTCAGGCCACACTCCAAATTACTTAGAGATTCTGATTAAATGAACAAGAATATGCATTTAATCGAATTCTCTGAGTAATTTGTATGCTCTGGACAGTTTGAGAAGCACTTGCAATTATCTCATTTCTTCCTCATTATGATACTAAAGATACTCATTTTGTAAACTCTGTCTCCTGGCAATACTAATCACTACCCTGCTTTACATGGAAGGAAACTGAGGCTCAGAGAGGTCAAATGGCTTGCTCAATATCATACAACCAGAAAGAGGGTTTGAAGCTAGGCTCCCACCAAAGCGGATGCTTTTAACCACCATGCAGTTGGGAGACTTAAATAAGATGCTAAGTATCTATCACTCAGCAGAGTACCTGGCCCACCATAGATGGATGATATATGCTCATAACCTTCTCTGTTCCTTCTCTTCTCTTTCTCTGTTCTGGTTATTTTCAGACTTCCAGATGTTCCCTTGCCATGGCATATATGTTGGTCCACCCTAGATAGGATGGGACCTGCCTAAATTCCTGGCTCCCCCTTGACTACTGCAGTGGTTCTTGATTGTGCCTTGGAGGGAGTGATGTCTGTTTTCCCTCGGCATCCTGGAGTGTCTCCTGGAGGGTGTTGCTGGCCCCTCTTCTCCTTCATCTCCACTGCAAAGAGCTTGATGATGTTTGCTCCTGGCCATGAAGCCTGGATGGAAAGCAATTCCCTGATAGGCTGGCTGGCATCTTGTTCCCTTCCTCTTGACAGGTATCATGGGTTTTCCTAGGGCAGGCATGGGATGAGTTCAGGATTTTCACCCCTTATTCCTTTTGGTCCAGGGAGTTGCATAAATGGACTAGTCTTTGGCGGGGTCGGGATGGGGGGCAGGACTTGTGGTTTTACAATTTATTTTTTGAAAAATAAAGGATTCTGATTTATAGATACATTATTTCTAAAAAGGATGAGCACATTTATAGTTAACCAGTTTCTATGGTTTTGGTTTCTCAGTAATGAGAATGTTAAATCATATAGGACAGGAGAATGGTAGAAGGATTTAAAGAGAGAAACATGGAATCTGGATTAAATGAACAAGAGTATAATTGAGTTCCATGATCCCATCATTTCTAGATTCAATTTTTCAACCAGATGTATCTTAGATCTTATTAGGAGTTCCTTAGAAGACAGACCAGATATAGAGCCTGTGACATTCACACCACCTAGTCAAACCTTATCTCAGGCTTTCGACATCAGTATATGGTGAGGAAATTGCTTTGGGACAAGATGGAAAACTTCGGGGCAGCTGGGTGAAGACCATAGTGAATCAGATTATTGAAGTAACTTCTCTCATTTGATTATTATCCTTGGCAATGAGTTTAGGGAACTGATGACAAGTGGATTTGTGACTATATTTAGGGAAAGAAGCCTGAAATCAGCAGAAGAAAGGAGAATGTACATACATCTTGGAGAGCCTACTGGCCATAACAGAAAATATGTTAGTTATTTATTGTTGCATAACAAATCACCTCAAAAACTAAGTGACTTAAACATCAACCAATGCTGATTATGACACAGTTTCTGTGTGTCAGGAATTCAGGAGTGATTCAGCTTAGTGGTTCAGGAGTGATTTAGCCGGGTGGTTCTGGCTTGGGGTCTGTCACAGAGTTACAGTCAAGATGTTGGCAGGGACTGCAATCTCTGAAGGTTTAAATGGGATTTCTAATGGGACTGGAGGATCCCTTGCTGACTCATGTAGCTGGCAAGGTGGTACTGTCTCTTGGCAAGATGTCTCTGTTCCCTGGACACTGAAGAGCCCTTTGGAGTGTCTCGAGTGTCCTCACAACCGTATGTCTGCCTTCCCTCAAAGCACATCTTTCAAGGGAGTAAGACAACTAGCCTCAGAAGTCACACATTGTCATTGCCACAATATCCTGTTGGTTATACAAGTCAGCCCACTTCAGTGTGAGAGGAAATTACACAAGAGTGTGAATAGTGGCAGGTTGGGGCCACTGGGGGCCATCTTTGAGGCTGGATATCACAAAATATGATATATAATCATCTAGGGACTGGGGCAAGTGGGGCATTCTGGGTTCCTAACATTCTCCTTAATTGTGTAATCTTAGATCGTTTGGAATCTCTTGGTCTCAGCTTCTTAACCTCTAAAGACATTAGAATGATCTCAAATACTCTAAAGCTATGGGCTTTTGGTATGATGGAAAGACAGAAAATTTGCAGCCTGAGGACCTCAATTTGAAGTCCAACTCCCTCTCACTTGCTGGAAGGTCTAAGGCAAGTCACCCCTGGCTCTGAAGAATGGATTTGCGATCTGCAAAGTGGGGATGGTCTTGAGGATTAAAAGAGATAATGGATGTGGAAGTGTTTTAAAAGTCTAAGTTCCACGCACTTGTAAGATGTTTTATTTCCTCATAAAAAAGCTGAACTAGAGGAAGCCAGAAGGCAGTATCATTATCATGAAAATAAAATTACCTTCTACTCTTCAATGCATGATGAGCCCTGGAAACAGGCTCTTCTATCTGCCAGGCTAGGCTGTGATCTTTTGAGCTATGCCAGGTGGTTATTATAATAAAACTAAAAGCCACATTATTTCACATGTATGCTTTACAACTTATAAAGAGCTTTTACTGATATTATGTTATTTAGGCCTCATTTTTTTGCCAGTATAAAATACCTTGTTTATGAAAGTACTTTTTCAACTAGTGTTTTTTAGAAATGTGAATGTATGATCTTAGAAAATTCATGCTGATTGTTATTTTTAGGATTGCTTATCACCCTCACCCATGAAGCAGCTAAAGTCGTTCAAGTGGGTCTCCTCCTTATCTTTTAACATATGAGGAATTTGCATCTCAGAAAAGTTAAGTGGCTTATCAAAGACTCAGAGCCACTCAGGATGAATCTGTAAAGGCACATTTATGTCTATGGCTACTTTTTTTAATGTTAAAACTGTGATTTAAACCACTGAGCTGGAAATGACAATCAGACTAATCAAAAGTATTATTATTATTAAATTCTATGAATCCATCTTATGATCTTTCCTCATGCCAAGGACTGGAGTCATAAAGATGCAGAAAATGTGGTTTCTAACCTTGTGTAGACCACTCGCTGTTGGAGATGGTGGATCAGGCTAGGCATGCAGGTAAATAATTTCAATGTAGTGTGATACGTCTCACTGTAGAAGTTTATTAAAAAGTATGTGCTCTGGGGAAAAAACTGGTGACCAAAACATGATCTTCTGATTAAGGTTGTAAGAAAGGGGAGGGGGTCTTAAGCTGTATGCTAGAGGCAGGAGGGGAGTTGCTGAGTAGATGAAGATGAAGGACATTGCACAGTGTGGGGAGCGGAGCTTCAGGAGGCTTGCTTACCAAGTGATGGGCAAGTGGAGGCTAGGTGTGAATGCCCTGGTATGCATATCACAACTATTGTGACTTTGTTCTATGAATGACAGAGAAATATTGGTGTATTAAAAATACGTTTTTGTCTGATTATATAAGTACAGTCATCCCTCAGTATCTGTGGGGGATTGGTTCCAAGCCTCTCACGAATGCCAAAATCCATGGATGCTCAAGTCCCTGATATAAATGGCACAGTATCTGCATGTAACCTACGTACATCCTCCCTTATGCTTTAAATCATCTCTAGATTACTTATAATACTTAATACAGTATAAATGCTACGGAAATAGTTGTTATACTGTATTGTTTAGGGAATAATGACAAGAATACTATACATGATCTGTATACACGCAATATTTTTGAATATTTTCTATTCATAGTTGAATCCACAGTGCAGAACCCACAGATGTGGAGGGCCAATTGTATTTAGAAGGCTTTTGAACAGGGAGATGGCATGAAGACAGTTATAAATACATTTAGAAAATAGGCAGGAATGAGGCGATGAGTTTGTAGGAGACTAAGGAGTTGGGTCAGGCTGGAATGAAAGGGAGTTTGGTGTTGCCTCACACTGGGAGGTAAGTGGACTTGTAGCCTTTGCACAGTAACGTGCTGTAGTTCAGGGGCCAGCAAATGTTTTCTGTAAAGGGATAGACGGTAAAAATTTTAGGCTTTATGGGCCATATGGTCCCTGTAGCAATCACTTAGCTCTGCTGTTGTAGCAATGTATCAACAAATGAGTGGGGCTGTGTTCCAATAAATCTTTATTTATAGATACCACATTTTGATTTCATATAATTTTCACATATCATGGAATGTTATTCTTCTTTTGAATTTTTCAGTCATTTGATAATGGTCAAATTATTTTCCATTTGTGAGCCTTCCCAAAACAGGCGTGGAACATATTTTACCCACAGACCATAGTTTGCTGACCCCTCTGGTAGCTTCTGGAAGTCCCATTGCCATTTCTACCTGCATCAACTTGGCAAATTAACACGCACCAGTCGTAGTAAATGGAAACGTCACAGAGCAGACTCCTGCCACACAGCATTCTTCTCCAGGCCACATCTGGAATTGAAACATACTCATAAATAGCAAAACTTAGAGTGTGAGCAAGGGGAGGCTGGTG
This sequence comes from Homo sapiens, assembly GCF_000001405.40. Lineage (NCBI taxonomy): Eukaryota > Metazoa > Chordata > Mammalia > Primates > Hominidae > Homo > Homo sapiens. The sequence goes on from NC_000015.10 coordinate 91,351,954, forward strand.
TGCCTGCTCAGGTCATTTTCCACTACCGGCTTTTGAGATTCTGTGGGCAAGTCAGGATCTTGCTGAATTCCTGACCAAGACTGTTTTCACATGCCTCTGCCCTGGCCATCCAAGGCTGGCTGTGCCGTGACTGCTGTCAGGCCAGTGGTTGAAATAACTTGTCTCCAAAGGAAGACAAACATGCATGCTTCTTGGATGAATCTGACACCACACTTAGGTGAACGGTTTAAAGTCAAATGTTCTAAAGACAAATCTGGGACTTTTGTCTATGCATGCTAATGGATATTCACAGAAACATACGGAGTACTTGCATTATGTCGTTGACAAAACTCATTGAAATACTCATAGCCTTGGCTGGGCATGGCGGCTCACGCTGGTAATCCCAGAACTTTGGGAGGCCAAGGAGGGCAGATCACCTGAGGTCAGGAGTTCAAGACCAGGCTGGCCAACACGATGAAACCCCGTCTCTACTAAAAATACAAAAAAAATTAGCTGGGTGTGGTGGTGTGCTCCTGTAACCCTAGCTACTCAGGAGGCTGAGGCAGAAGAATCACTTGAACCCGGGAGGTGGAGGTTGCAGTGAGCCGAGATGGTACCACTGCACTACAGCCTGGGCAACAGAGTGAGACTTCATCTCAAAAAAAAAAAAAAAAAAAAAAAAAAGAAAAAACTCATAGCCTTATTTCATAGGTGAGAGGAAGGGTTCCATTTACAATCCCATAATTAATGGATAGGAGAAGATAATGGAACAAACATCCAGATCGTTCGACTTCATTTATCTTTCTCCCACCCCACCTAGCTTTGTATATGGTACATTTTGAATGGGGATGGGGAGGCCTAGGTAAGGAAGGGAGGATAAATGGAGCACCCAGGAGACTGCCTTTTCCAGAGGAGAATGACACAGATGTATTTTTTTCAGTCTCCTAAGAAGTGAGATCAGCTTCCTTAATCTAGTTTTATTTCCTGACGGCCTCCACTCTCCTCCCTGCTCTTGCCTCTTCTCTCCATCTCTCTTGCTACCTTCTACCAGCAGGTGGAAGCAATTATTGCTATGCCCAGGCCAAGAGACATGAAAGCAAACAATATCTTAGCAAATATGATTTTAAAACACAATAATCTAAGCATTTGAACCTCAGCAAACATGCAGCTAATACAGATTCTGTTTTGTATCAGTTATATTTTTGGCAAAAAGCAAAGGACAGAACTAAGAGTATTTCATGATCTTCCAGTGAGCCATAAGGAAATCCCTGGCTTACTTATAATTAGGATGGTGAAAACCAAGTAGGAACAATCATGAAAATTCTCCAATTCTACCTCTGTCATCCTCCTTTCTAAACCATCCATGTTCCTCCAAAGATTATCAGGGAGTGTGTGCCTGTGTGATTCTCTTCTAGTCACTGGGGCAGGTTGGCTGGACAGCTTTGTGAACGAATGATCCACAACCACATTATAAGCTGGTTATACTAAGAATGGTATCCTGGAAACCAAAACTGTTTCTCAGATTTTCTCAGATCGGCGCAGAATTGGGTGATTTTTCTCCCCCACTCTCTCTTTTTGCCTTCAGCCACCCCTAATAAATACAACCAAATTCCCAAACACCTTTCCTTTCTCTCACCCAACATACAGCATGGGGCCCATCGTTTTCCCCTGAGATGCCTAGATGGGGCTGCCCTTGTATGCACTGTTGCCCCCGCTTACCATGTTTATATAGGGATTAGCTCTTTTTTACAGTCTGTAGACACACATGCATTTATATGTAGTCTAGATTTTCATGATGATTCTGAAGGTCGAAGGAAGAGGGAGTTTACATTGTGTACGGGAGCAAATTGCTCAAATCCCTTCGAACATATTCTCTTTCTCCCTTGCCCTTCCTCCTTCACCTGCCCTTTCTCTGACCCTCCCCATGCGTACTTTATTTCTTTGCCCTTCATCTCACTTCTGAATCATCCTCAGGTCACTTGATCTCTCAACCCTTTCTGATGAGCAGTTTGGCTTCTCCTGACTTCTACTTTCAGAATCCTCCAGCTACCAATACCCACCCTCCTCAGAGAGTTGCTGGAAATTTTAGTAATAAAAATTTGCCCTGTCACATTTAGGACACTTGCTTTCTTATCTTTGTTCTATCATTTATAGGCTGTGTGAAATTACACAAAACACTTTATGTCTTGGAACCAGTTTCCTTTCTGTAGAATGTAGCTAAGCTCTATTCTGTGATGACAAGGATGATCAAAATAAAAAATAATCACAGCTAATATGTGTGGTATACCAACCATGTACCAGGGACCTCGTCAAGTGCTTTCTGCACGTGGTTCCATTTATATTTGTCACCCCTACTTCACAGACTACTAAATTGAGCGTCTGAGCTGCTAAGTCACCTGCCCAAGGTTATTTGGCCAGTAAGCAACAGAATGAGGATCAGCATTTGAGATATGAATATTCTATACACAAAAGGTACCATTACAGAGAAACTAGAGTGGTATTGGCCCGGATAAGGGTTCATGCCTATTTGCTTATAGGACGGGTGGAGCTACATTAAATGCTTTTAGGACAATGCATTTAATGTCCTAAATTAAACAATGTTTGAATTTCCCAAAAAACCCAGAATAACTCAAAATTACTCATTATCTTGGCCTTATTGGTATTTGACTCTGCTGTGAATACAATATATCTCACAGAAGCATGACAGTCTAGTAGGGTGGTTTTGGAAAAAGCCTAGGATTCAGGAGCAGGTTTAAGCAACTTAAGCTTTCTCAGCTTCCATTTTCTCTTCTGTACTTTCATAATGCTGATTTTTAAAAGCACCTATGTGGAAAGTAAAGGTTCAATGAAACAGCACAAATGAAGTGTTTAACATTTGGTCTGGCATGTAGCAGTTGCTCAACACATCTTGTTTATTAATGATAACCACAATGATAATAATGAAGTAATAATGAATTTATATAATATTATTGTGAAAGTTCATATGAGTTTTGATCTTGCCCCTCTCCTCTGTTCAGTGGCTGCATGGTTTTTATGATCTACCTTGTATGGCTTCATGTTGGCAGGTGGGAGATTTTGATAGACATATGATAGAATCGGGAGCCCCTAAGACTTGTATTTTAGTCACAGAAATGTATTAGTTCCTCGTGTTGTGAGCTTGAGCATGTTACTTTGTCTAAGTTAACCTTCCTTGTAAAAATCATGAATATACCTGCCCTTTCTCCTCCCCTCAACCTCTCCACACCCAGTGAGAGGTCCCGTTGATAGTGTATATGAAGGGGCTTTACAGACTCTGGAGTGCTGTATACATGCTATTTTTTTCTCTCTTTCAATTGTAGTGGTGTTTTCCCATTCCCCTTGAATGACCCAACATCACACTCCTGGTAAAATAAATGCATTTGTGCATGAACATTTGGCAAGTAATGGGAGTCACATTTGCAATAAATGTTTTCCCTTGAACAGCCAAGTGAGCCACTGCGAGCTGCACTGTAGCAGTGACATTTACAATAATCAGTTTAGAAGAGCAATTGCCACCTTGACTATTTTACTAGTATGGAGTGCTGGAGACTATTGAGGGTGATTAGATCAGCAAACCAGCAATTTAGTAGAGCCATCAGAGAAGAGGCTGAAAATAAATGAATATCTGAGATCCTGAATTTCCAATCAGATCAAGAAAGAGAAGCATAAAAGAATAGGTCCCATTTATTTGGGGGAGAGCCATACACCACTTTGTATGGAGGTTTCATTTTCTAGGAACCTTTTCTAGTGCTTTCAACAACATTGTGATATAAGTAGGACTCTTCCCCATTTTACAGATGAGGAAACTGAGGCTCAGAGGTTTAAGTCACCAGTCTGCATCTCCTTACATTCTGTTTTTCGGAGAATGGTGCCCTCACCTATCCAGTGACACAAGCCAAAGTCCTGTGAGTGAGCTCTGGTTTAATCCCTTTCTCTCATTTCTCATATCCAGTTTACCATTCAGGCCTGCTGGTTTTAGTTCTTAAATATCATTTAGCTTCTGTTTTCTCTTTCCATTGAAATTCTCATTGCAGCCCTTGCATGGATTACCTCCTGACCTGTGTGCCTGTGTCCGTGTTGTTCACCAGTCTGTCCTCCACGTAGGTCAGACCATGCCCCACAGCTCCCAATCCTCCTTAGAATGAGGACAAACCTCCTCACCGTGGTCACCTTTCCATTTTTCTGACCTCACTCTGTGCCCCTCTTCCATGCTCTGCACTGCAAAGACTCAGAGTCTTGTACTGGCCAAGGTCAAGGTCCCCCTGCACCACACCTTTGCCTGGTATGCCATATCCTCATTACTTTACCCACTTACTGCCCACTTGTGCTTCTGATCTCAGCCCCAGCTGCCCTTCCTAGGGGAAGCCGTTCCTGACCTTTGTAACTGGCGCAAAGCCTTCTCTTGGGTGCTCTCAACGTTCCAGGGACCTGGCTGTACAACACTTGTACCAGTCAATCCTTTACATTAACTTGAGTAATAGATGTTAGTGTCTGGCTCTGCCTCCCAAGAGTGAAGACAGGAAAGGTAAGGCCTTATCTGTTTGCATTCCTACAGTCTAGTGTGCTCAGTAAAATATTGTTTAATGAGAATGAATTGGACATGGCAGCATGGCTAGAAAGTGATGGATTTTGGATTTAAACATACTTCTTTCTGGTTCTAGAGACTTTGCTGTTAACACCATTCACTTTTGGGCAGTGTCATTTCAGCAGTAGGACTGATAAGGGTACTTTATACTAAGATCAAACATATTTTGGATCCATCAGATGAAGTTTGATAAAAATGGGTTATTAAGAACCCACTGATAAGCAGAGCTGCCTGACCAAGATTTCCACATTTTGCATCAAAGAGAAGTGTAATGAAAGTGTATCTACCTGGGCTGATGGGAGTGGGTGGAGGGCTGGAGAGTGAAGCAAGAAGGGCTACTTCTATAATGCCCTTGACCCGGCCTTTCTCTGTTCTTCACTCTGGCTGAAACTGACCACTCTGAATGCATTCAGATAATGATAAATTATCTCCATCAGACAGTGTGTGTGTGTGTGTTGGGTCATGTACAAGAGAGGCAGCTTCTGTGAATAAATGAAGCCCTGTAATTAAGGAATGTGTAGAAAATTGCAAGGATACACTGGTACTTTGTCCTTAGTACTCCTCCCTAAGGCCACATTTCCTAGAACTGGCTTGTATTTGCCACTGACACTACTAGCAGCAGGATGGAAGGGAGGAAGAGAGAGGCCAGGTGTTGCAATACTTAGCGCCTAATTTCAGCTCTGCTGCAAACTAAAAAACTAACCAACTTTGGTTAACTCCCTAACCTCTTTGAGCCTCCGTTTCCTCATCTGAAAAATCAGTAATGGTTTGAATTCCTTTAAAATCTGACATTCTATTATCTCTCTCCACTGTGGAAACACTGGGATCTATTGTTCTTTTATCATCTCTGGTGGACGTTATTACTTCTGCATTACAAAGGTGCCCTTTCCACTCTAAATAAGCCCTCAAAGAAATTAAGTCTGTAATCATTTCCACTTGGTAAGTGAAAAGGCACGAGAAAAGAGCTAGTTGTCAATAGCTCTGTGGATGGCAACAAATTAATTCAATGGAATGGGATCCGTGCAAACACGTGCATATATAGCCATAATTTGCCTTTCATTTTCCTTTGCAACTCAGAAGAAAGTGAATAATTTCCAATGAGGCTCTCATTTGAACATACTAAAAAAACATGTCATTGGCAAAAGGCGTATTTGGTTGCTCGATTACCATATATCTCCGAGTATGCGGAACAGTTATTTTTCAGTTGGGAGTAATTAGCAGAGTAGAGAGCTGCACAATCTTGGGGGCAGAAAAATCTTTGTATGTCTTATCGTGGCATGGAGAAAGCAAAGTGAAAGGGCAGAGCATAGGAGGTCGTTAAATAACTAGATAAGGGATCAGCGGCATTCCCTCTGGTTAGGAATGAGGTGAGGCCCTAAAGCAATGGCAGCAAAATTGTGGGTGGGAATGTTTTTGTATGGTCTAGTTAGTTTACCCAAGAAAAGTGCAAAAGAGAAAGGGCTAAAAAGATGTAGATTGTAGAATTCATGGCTTCATTTGCTCTTCTGCCTTCGAAACCTTTTTGCTACCACTCTGTCATTTTCTCAGCTTGTCTAAGGCCATCTTGGCTCATCAACTGTGAGGGAAAGTTGTTTAAACTCTCTAAGCCTCCTTTTTTTTCCACTGGTACACTTAGGGGCACTAATTCCTGATTTTTCTGCTTGAGTTACTGTTGTTCGGAACCCATAATTGTTTGCGTATGTGCCTTATAAGACGTGTCACCTAACGCACGTTGTGGCAACCTCAGGTGTAGGAGTTAGGACATCTGTGTGCCTGGATTTGGCTGTTACTAACTAGATGGAGTGGGGAGGAAGGGCAGAGGAGACCATTGTAGGCTTTTTCTAGATTCTTTTCTTTTCTCCAGAAAATGACATTGCTCTTATATTTGAAGACAACTACCTGCCTAGGCATATGGAAATTCTAAGGTTGCCAGAGCTTTGCATTGATTCTGGGGCAGCGTTTCAAGATTGCTGGAGCAGTATCATCATTCTACTTCATAGATTTCAGTCAACAAGCTGGTCATGGCCTCCTCAATGTGCCAGAATCTTATAGATGGTGAGCGTCAGTGGGCTGGAATCACAGTTTCCATCTCTTAGGCTGGGCAGTCCCATGGGGGCAATGGTAAAAATTTAATTGGAACATATATCAGAAGTAACGAGAAATCCATCTCTTTAAATGCTTCCTAGGAGATTTCCTGGAGATTTATAAAAGACACTTCATTGATCAAATGACTCTGATGTTTCCCTCCCACTGGAAGCAATTCAGGTCACCAGGCCACTTTTAACCACTGTGATCCCCTTTCTTAGTAACCTCTGCTCATAGAATTTATTTATGGCATAGCATATACTATTTAACTTAATATTCTGATTAGCGGAGCTAGCAAACACACAGCATCAATATAAACTGCAGTATCATAACAGAATTCCTTTAAAAATCTTCTAATTTTTCTTTAAAAACACTGATGTTTTTCTAACTTACTTCATCTTTAGGAATATTAACATTTTATAATGCTGGAAAAATTATTTGAATTTCTTTTCACTTAAAACCTACAGCTTTTATTTATTCCAGCTTTCACAAATATTTTATTTTCCCACTATAGAAAAATTGAGTTTAGAGATAAACGTGAAGAAAAAAGTCACCCATAGCTCCATCCAAAAGTCAACAACTCTTAATATCTTGGTCTAGTTTTCATTCTTTTTGCTATGTTTCATATGGTTTCATCATCATATGTCATAAATAACTGTATATATATATATGAGTTTTAAAATAATACATTTTGTATTGTCATAAATGAAATACATATTTAATATGCTGTGATTAGGACATATAGAGAAACATAAAAAGGAAAATTAAAGTCATTTAAAATCTTACCAGAGATAATAACCATAAACATTTTGATGTATTTTCTCAGAATATTCTTTCCTATGCCTTTTATATTTTTCTTTATTATTAAATATTTCAAGCATATAGAAAAGACAGAAAATAATATAAGAAACACCCATATATTCACCATGAAAAATTTTAAAATATTGATATTTTCCTACGTATATTTCAGATTCTTTACTTTTTGTTGTCCCTTGCTTTCCTCCTCGTTTTTTTCTGGCAAAACAAAGCATTATAGATACAGTTGCAGCTTCCTATGCTCAATTTTATCTTTCTAAAATTTATTCATATTGAAACATCTACCTCTGGTCTATTTACCTTCCCTGCTGAATAATACTTTACCATATGGAAATACCATGATGTACAATTACAAGCAATAGTGCCATATACATTCCTGTATAGGCTTCTTGGGAAGAATCCCTCTTACTATGTTCTTAGAAGTGGGATTGCTAAACTGTAGGGTAGGCTTGTCTTCATTTTCACTATAACTGCCAATTATTTGAAGTAGTTGTAACAATTTGTATTCCCACAAGCAATACCGGGAAGCTTGTTTCGTGTTTGGCTTCACTTGGTATCGTGAGGCTTTAACATTTTTTTTGCCAATCATATGAGTGTAAATTGCTATCTTTTAATTTATATAGTGCACATACTTTATTACTGGGGACACATGTAACCTTTCTTTCTAATGCACAGCTGTCATGGATTTGTTTTCAATGTGACTCATTTATTAAGTACTGAAAATTGCAAGGCTTCCTGAAGTTGCTAATCAGGGCTGCAGACAGATTTGATGCTTTAGATCCACGTTCTCTAACTCTGCCTCTCTGGTGTCAGTATTTCTTTCTTCTAGTTTTAGTGGTTCCCCTTTTCAGGGACTAGGAACATTCTGGCTGTAGAAATCTGTTGCAGTAATGGGAAGGATTTTTACTAAAACAACTCAATTGTTTTCTTACCTAGTAATTATGCAGACTTTAAAATATATTTAAGAAAATCACTCAAGTTATATACAAAACCATACACTACCAAAGCATATACAAAGTGCAAGTTTTCTTTCATCCTTCTCCTCTTCCTCCTCCAATAAATAACCACATGTAGAGAGCCTCTACTTTTTCCTTTGTATTTGTGTTTATGCACAAATGCAATGAATATTCTTGAACATGTTTCCTTGGTCCCATGAGCAGAAGGTGAATGTGATTTTTTAACTTAATTTTATCTATCAACATCAGCACAGTATTCTATAATGTGGAAGTATGAGAACTAATCTAACTCTTCTAATAACGGACATTTAGGTTGCTTCTAGTTTTTCATTATTTTAAGCAATGTTGTGGAAAACATTCTTGTTAATGTCTTTGGACATCAGTGTGAAAATTGTCTTGGGAAATATTTGTAGAAATGCTATTTACATGCTATTTTTTGCCTACTTTATTAATTTTTATTTAAAACATTTTAAAGTACCTTAGGAATTGGTGACTTCTAAGTAGGTGTAGGACACAGTACCTAGATTCTCTGAGCTTTGTGTTCCGCATAAAGTGGAGGAAGTGACAGTAACTACCTGGATAGGGTAATTTTGAGGATTAAATGAGATACTGTGTACCAAGTCCATAGCATGGGTTTGGATCACAGTAGAGACTAGAAAGTTCCCTTATGCCTCCTCTTAGTCTGCCCGCAACCCCAATATACCCTTGGATATTTTTCCAGCTCAGATTTTAGAATTTGATAGAAGTGGAATCATATTGTGATCACTCCATGGTATAAGGTTTTTTTCAGTCAAGAAAAGGTTTTTGATATTCAACCATGTTGTTGCACATGTCAATAGTTCTTCACTTCTTTCTCCTCCTACCTCAGCTCTTAGAGAAGGAATAGTGTAAAAAACAGGGAAATAAAACAATATATTTCCACTTATAACAGGTTTTGGTCTAGAGCTGGCATTGTTCTCAAATATATCTAACAGTTTCCCTTGGAAAGAAGAATTTATTTTCTATGCAGCACATAACCGGAAACATAAAGAGGCAAAAGCCCTCCCAGTCTGCCGTGTGAAAAGCATCATGTTGACTGCATTTCTCAAATGGTAAACGCAGGCAAAGGGGCAGCTCCCAATCCTTATTTTCTCACTATCAGCCCCACCACTCCTATTTTTTCATCTGGGAAAAATAATGATGATTGTAATAACAATAGAAAAACAATAACAAGGACAGTAGAAAAGGTTATTGAATGCACTGGCTGTGGCAGAGAGCAATTAGAAATGTTTTGTTTTTTCCCTTTACTTCTTCAAAGTTGCTAAGTGGACTCATTCTTACCCACCCATTGGATAGAATCTTTGACATTTCATATTTCACTGAGTAATTTAAGCTATTAAGAAATCCTGTCTAGTTTAACACAGAAACAGAAAACCAAACACCGCATGTTCTCACTCATAAGCGGGAGTTAACAATGAGAACACATGGACACAGGGAGGGGAAAATCACACACTGGGGCCAGTCACGGGGTGGAGGATGAGGGGAGGGAGAACATTAGAACAAATAGCTAATTCATGTGGGGCTTAAAACCTAGATGATGGGTTGAGAGGTGCAGCAAACCACCATGGCACACATAGACCTATATAACAAACCTACACATTCTGCACCTGTATCCTGGAACTTAAAGTAAAAAAAAAAAAAAAAAAAAAAAAAATCCTGTCTAGTTTAATTTCAAAATTCAAAAATCTCATCCAATTTAAAACTTCACCCTTCCTTGCATATTTTAATACATAAAATAACAACAAAAGATAATGAAAAGAGGTATAGGTTGAGCATCCCTAATCCATAAAACCTGAAATCCCAAATGCTCCAAAATCTGACATCCGTCCACATGGATGGCTGAGATGGTGACATGTGTGCTTTCTGATGGTTCAATGTGTACAAACTTTGTTTCAGGCACAAAATTGTTAAAAATATTATGTAACGTTTCATTCGGCCTACGTGTATGAGGTGTATATAAACATAAGTGAATTTTGTGTTTAGACTTTTGTTCTAACCTTAAGAGATCTCTTTATGTACATGTAAATGTTCCAAAATCTGAAAAAATTCAAAATCCAAAACACTTCTTGTCCCAAGGAATTCAGGTAAGGGATATTCAACCAGTATACCTAAAAAGTCAATGGATACTTTAAAATGAAATTCCAAAAACATTTAAATTGTCCAAAAAACATCAGGAGAAAAGGAACAGGAGAAAAAGTGGGGAGGGAGGGGGGTGTAAACAGAAAACAAATAAAATAGTAAAACAAATAATTAAATGGTAAGCCTAAATCCAATTACATCATTCAACTACTGATAAATCTATATTTAATAACATTAAATGTTAATGAATCATACCACATACTCCACTTGAAGTGCAGGGATGGCCAGAATTGATTTAAAAAACCACAAGACCCAATTATGTGCTGTATATAAAATACACACTTTAAATAGAAAAAAGACAAATATAGGTAGGTCTAAATAAGTACATTTAATTTCTTTTCTTTTTTTTTTTTTTTTGAGACTGTGTCTTGCTCTGTCTCCCAGGCTGGAGTACAATGGCACAATCTCTGCTCACTGCAACCTCCACCTCCCGGGTTCAAGCAATTCTCCTGCCTCAGCCTCTGGAGTAGCTAGGATTACAGGCACCCACCACCACGCCCAGCTAATTGTTGTATTTTTAGTAGAGACGGGGTTTCACCATGTTGGCCAGGCTGGTCTTGAACTCCTACCTCAAGTGATCTGCCTGCTTCAGCCTCCCAAAGTGCTGGGATTACAGGTGTGAGCCACTGCACCCAGCCCTAAATAAGTACACTTAAAAAGACACATTATGCAAACCGTCAGTAATGGAAGTCTGAAGTAGCTATATTAATATCAAATAAAATATGCTATAAGTCAAAGAGTATTGCCAAAGATAGAGACATTTCATGATAACAGTAGACTCATTTCATGAGGAAGACAGATTAAAAAAAATTAAGTACGTAAAATCAGAGCTTCAATTTGCACGAAACAAAAATAGAACTAAAGGGATAAATAGACAATCCACAATTTTTATTGGTGATTTTAATACCCATCTCTCAGGCAATTGACAGATAAGCTAGACAAAATCTTAGTAAAGATGCAGATGATCTGAACGGCAGTATCCACCATCTTGAACGAACCTATGGAAGATTACACCCAATAACTGCAGAATACTTATACGTTTCAAGTACATGCAGTGTTCACCAGGATAGGTCGTATGCTAGGTTATAAAAAAAAGACTCAATCGACTAAAACAAATTGAATTCATGCAGTATGTGTTCCCTGACCACAATAGGATTAAACTAGAAATGAATAATAAGAGATCTAGGAAAGCCCCAAGTATTTGGAGATTAAATATAATCCACAAGCCCAAGAAGAAATCACAGGTTTGAATAGAAAATATTTTACTCCGAGGGATAATCAAAATACAACATGTCAACACTCGTGAATTACAGCCATGGTAGTGCCCAGAGGGAAATATAGCTGTACATGCTTATACTGCAGTAGAAAAAAAGAGAAAGGTCTAAAATCAATGACCTAAAGGTCCACCTAAAGAAGATTGAAAAAAAAAAAAAAACCAAAAAAACAAAACGAACAAAAAAAAAAAACAAAGCAAAGAAAACTTCAAGGAAGTAGTAAGAAGGAAGCAATGAAGATAAAAGTGCAGGGATCAACCAAATTGAAGTCAGACAAAATAATAGAGAAAATTAACAAGGCAAAAAAGTTGGCTCTTTGGAAAGATCAATACTTAATAAACCTCTAGCTACTCTGATCATGAAAAAAAGAGAGAAAATAGAAATTATCAATATCAAAGTGAAAGAGAGAAGTGAAATTATCACTACAGATCCTATAGACATTGGGCTGGGCATGGTGGCTCACGCCTGTAATCCCAGCACTGTGGGAGGCCGAGGCGGATGGATCACCTGAGGTCAGGAGTTTGAGACCAGCCTGACCAACACGGAGAATCCCTGTCTCTACTAAAAATACAAAATTAGCTGGGGGTGGTAGCACATGCCTGTACTCCTAGCTACTTGAGAGGCTGAGGCGGGAGAATTGCTTGAACCCAGGAGGCAGAGGCTGTGGTGTGCAGACATCACACCATCGCACTCCAGCCTGGGCAACAAGAGCGAAACTCTGTCTCAAAACAAAACAAAACAACAATAACAACAAAAACACCATTCAGAAGGGGAAAAGATTTGAGGAGCCACTTTGCAAAGCTAATATACAGGTGGGACAAAATGTTCCATATCAATAAGCATCAAGGAAATGCAAATTAAAACCACAGTGAGATACCACTACTCACCCAACAAAATAACTAAGTTTGGAAAGACTAAACACCAAATGTTGGCAAGAATATGGCACAACTGTAACTCTCCTATATTGCTAAATGGGAATATAAAATAGTACGACCACTTTGCCAAATTTCTGGAATTTTCTTACATAACTAATATACTTCTCATCAATAATAAATTTTCCTGTTAGGCATTTACCCCAAATTAGTGAAAATACATGTTAATAAAAATACTTATAGAAGAACACAATAGCTTTATTCATAATAATCAAAAGTTGGAAATACTCCTGGTGACCATAAATAGAAGATCAGATAGCAAACTATGGTAATTCATACCGTGAAATACTACTCAGCAATAAAAATGCAAGAGTTATTGATATGTGCAACCACGTGGATAAATATAAAAATTATTTTGCGGACTGAAAGAATCCTTATATATAGGGTTATCATAATATGATTCCATTTATGTGGAATTTCTAAAGTTGGCAAACAGTCTACACTGGAAAAAATCTAAGGGTATAGAGGTGGAGATTGACTGAAATAGGTCATGAGGAGACTTTCTGAGGTTGCATTAGTCCGTTTTTCCATTGCGGATGAAGACATACCTGATACTGGGTACTTTATAAAGAAAAATAGGTTTAATGGATTCACAGTTCCACGTGGCTGGGGAGGCCTCACAATCATGGCAGAAGGCAAAAGGCACATCTTACATGGTGGCAAACAAGAGAGAAATGAGAAACAAGCAAAAGAGCTTTCCCTTTATAAAATCTTCAGCTCTTGTGAGACTTATTCACTACCACAAGAACAGTATGGGGGAAACTGCCCACATGATTCAATTCTCTTCCACTGGGTTCCTCCCACAACACTTGGGAATTCTGCGAGCTACAATTCAAGATGAGATTTGGGTGAGGACACAGCCAAACTGTATCAGAGATTACGGTAATGTTCTTTATTTGATACAATTTTGGGTTACACAAATGTACATTTTTGTCAAAATTCAGCAAATACATACTTAAAAGTTTTCATTTCATCATTTGTAAATTTTACACCAAAAGGAAAAAAAAATACCAAATTCTAGTTAATGCATGTTGAGTTATTGATGTCTGTAATTTACTTTGAAATGCCTAAAAACTAAGATGAATTAGCGGATGGATAGAGAGATGGATCTATGGCTAGACATGAGATAAAACAAGAATACAAGTTGGTGAAGATATAGTTGTTCACTGTAAAGTTTTTTCAACTTTGCTGTATGTTCGTAAATGGTCATAATAAAGTATCAGCAAAAAAAACCCCTCATCCTTCCTCCTCTTTGTGACAGCCCCAGCTTGAAAAACCCACAGTGGGAGGGGAGAGGAGGGCAGTGTATTTGGCTTCTGATTGTCCACCCCCTACTCCTTAGCAGTGGTTTCTGGCCCTTCTAGGGCTGGCTAGGAGGCAGGGAGAAAGGAGAGATAGAGGAACAGATAGGTCTTAATGAATCGTTCAGTTGTATTATGGCCTCACATTTTGGGTGCAGACATGCAGTTGTTGGCCGTTTCTTGTGGGTTCCTCAGAAATTCCCCCGGTAGAGATCTCTGACAGCAGGTCACTACCTCAGGCAATACATTTTCTGGGCGGCCACTAAGAGCCCTCCTACCATCTGCCTCTGGTGGTCCAGGGCAGCCTCTTCCTGCTGAAGTTGCCTCACCCCTGGCAGGAAGCTTTTTTGGTCAGAGTCTTCCTTCAAATCGATGGCTCATTCTCTATTATGCAGTTCATATTTGGCCCATAGAAAACATGCACACACCTTCGCTTGGTTTCATGTGAAGTATGTTCCACTCCCAATTCCAATCTCTTCTGTCACCCCCATTATTCCAACTCGGCCACAGCCTTTTGCCTTTGGACTTTATTCAGATGTAATTGCAGCTCCCGAGTTCTTCAAGCTTCAGGGACGTGGGCCAATCTGTCTGAATGGTTAATTTGAAGTTCCTGTTCATGCAGCTCATTTGCTTTAAAATGAAGGAAAAGCATTTTCCCATCCATGAGAATTGGGTAAGGAGGGGTTCATACAGCACACAACCCTTCGAAGAAGTACTCAGTGTAATCTTCCAATGAAACTTTAGTCTTAGTCAGTGTGGCGATTCCTCAGGGATCGAGAACGAGAAATACCATTTGACCCAGCAATGCCATTACTGGGTATATACCCAAAGGATTATAAATCATGCTGCTATAAAGATACATGCACACGTATGTTTATTGCGGCACTATTCACAATAGCAAAGACCTGGAAACAACCCAAATGTACAACAATGATAGACTGGATTAAGAAAATGTGGCACATATACACCATGGAATACTATGCAGCCACAAAAAATGATGAGTTCATGTCCTTTGTAGGCACATGGATGAAGCTGGAAACCATCATTCTCAGCAAACTATCACAAGGACAAAAAACCAAACGCCGCATGTTCTCACTCATAGGTGGGAATTGAACAATGAGAACACGTGGACACAGGAAGGGGAACATCACACACCGGGGCCTGTTGTGGGGTGGGGGGAGGGGGGAGGGATAGCATTAGGAGATATACCTAATGTTAAATGACGAGTTAATGGGTGCAGCACACCAACATGGCACATGTATACGTATGTAACAGACCTGCACGTTGTGCACATGTACCCTAGAACCTGAAGTATAATAAAAAAAAATAAAGAAATTTTAGTCCTGTCCTATAAAAGTTGGAGGTATCTAATAATCTATTCTGGCAAAACTGGTTTTTGCCCACATCCTTTGCAAGTTTTGCACACAAGGTCTAGAACCTGACTGTAAATGAGAGGATTCTTGACAACTACTGTTTGGCACTTGATCTTTGGCTCCAATGCCAAACTTGGAGAAGACAGCAAGTTTCCATTGTCCTGTAACAATAGCTAATCTGTGCTTTCCTTTGCTGTCTCGAGTATAGTATAACATTTATGAGGTACCGATGCTTGCAGAAAAGTGTTTTAGAAGTGGAAGTCAGAGTCCTACTGTGGAAAGGAGGCTGAGAGAACCGCAAATCCTACTCCCTCCTTTCCCGGAGGAGACTCAGATTTGTGATGTGGTTTCCTTGGGGAAACATGAGTAAGTAGCAGAAGAGATCAACTAAACTCTGGCTCACTGCTCAGAAATCAGCCTTTTTTTCCCCCCCAGACGGAGTCTTGCTCTGTCGCCCAGAGCTGGAGTGCAATGGCACAATCTTGCCTCACTGCAACCTCCGCCTCCTGGGTTCAAGCGATTCTCCTGCCTCAGCCTCCCCAGTAGCTGGGACTACAGGCATGCGCCACCACGCCTGGCTAATTTTGGTATTTTCAGTAGAGATGGGGTTTCACCATGTTGGCCAGGCTGGTCCCAAACTCCTGACCTCGTGATCTGCCGGCCTTGGCTTCCCAAAGTGCTGGGATTACAGGCGTGAGCCACGGCGCCCAGCTAGAAATTAGCTTTTTATAACCTCCCCTCTGCCTGGGAAATAAGAATTAAAACAGTACTTTTCCTCCCACTTTTTTTTTTTCAACTAGATGAGCCTGTGTTCCATTGCTGCACGTGGTGAGCCTTTGAACTGAGAGTGGCTGAGCGCAGAGTAACCCTGGTAGCACCCCTGGGCCACCTGAAACTGATCGTGCTGTCTTCTTTGGAGTGGCTGCCCCTTTAAAAGAAGACTTAACCCGGGGGACTTTATCTGGCTCTGTGATTCAGCTGGAAAGAGACCTGAGCAAGGCCCGGGTAGGGTTGCAGAGCAAAGGGGCGGTTTGTCCTACAGCCTAAAGAAGACAGAACCATGATGAAGCGGCATAGTTCGTCTGCGTAATACCTGAGGTGCGTTGCCTCATGCCAAGGAAATCAAGGACATGGACACGCATGGAGTGAGGGTAAGAGTGGAGGTTTAATATTGCAAAAGAAAGAGAAAAGAGAACAGCTCTCTCTCCTGCAGAGAGAGAGAGAGGGGCTCCTGAATGTGTCTTCTGGTTTTGTGGTGAAGTGCACGGGGTTTTATAGACTGGCTTGAGGAGGCGGTGTCTGATTTACATAGGGCCCAAAGATTGTTTGACCGGGGTGAGACGTTTACATAGCACTGGAAGAAGCTGGCCACCCCACCCTAATCTTATTATTATGCAAATAGGTTTTCTATTTGGCCTGTGCCACGTTGTCTGCTCCTTACTGTATGTGGGGTTGATAAACCATCCTGGCCAACATGGTGAAACCCCGTTTCTACTTAAATATAAAAAAATTAGCCAGGCGTGGTGGCGGGCGCCTGTAGGAGGCTGAGGCAGGTGAATTGCTTGCACTCGGGAGGCAGAGATTGCAGTGAGCCGAGATAGCACCACTGCACTCCAGCCTGGCGACAGAGCGAGACTCCTGTCTCACAGAAAAAAAAAAAAAAAAAAAAAAGGGAAGATGGAGTCGCCATGTTGAACATATCTAGCCCCTAGGTAGCCTTCTCCTATTGTCACACCTGCGGGCATTCACCCGTGCAAGCTTCCAGCTTGCTTGTCCATGTCTGCAGCTCGATTTTACAGGCTGTTCTTTGTTAGAAAAGAAATGATTTTGGGGCTGCTTTTTATTAAGAGGGAAACCTCACCAAGGACTTTCTTACCCTCACTATCTGCCTAAATATTTTCTTTTTAACTCCTATATCAGTGGGACTTCTGGATTACAGTTGAGTAACTAGTTGTGGCTGATCATGAACTCTGCCCCCACTAAATAGTGGAATGCTTTTATTTTCTATATTTCAAGGACGGTCTCTCTGCTCCTTGTCCCTCTTCCGAAGAGCAGGGTGGAAACTGTATTTAGAACACTTGCTGGGAGCAGTGGCTCACGCCTGTAATCCTAGCAATTTAGGAGGCTAATATGGGAGGATTGCTTGAGGCCAGGAGCTTGAGACCAGTCTGAGCAACATAGCAAGACCCCATCTCTAAAAATAAAATAAAATAAAATAAAACAATTAGCCAGGTGTGGGGGTGCACACCTGTTGGCCTGTTGTCCTAGCTGCTCCCACGAAGCCAACACAGGAGGGTCACTTGAGCTCAGGAGTTTGAGGCTGCAGTGAGCCACGATCATGCCACTGCACTCCAGCCTGGGTGACTCCATCTCTTAAAAAACCAACAAACAAAAAGCCCACTTCCTATCCGGGATGGGAACTGGTAGAGCCTTGTAGCAGTGAGTGACCCAGAGGCAGAGCAGCCATTCGGCCACGGCTTTAATGGTGCAATTTGAACCTCGTGTTTGTCCTGCTGACCAAGGCTGTGGCTGTCTTAGGGTCCTCCATGTGGTCTGGCCTTGGAGGAAAAGGAACTGTTACATATTCAACACTTCCTGTGTGTGGAGCCCAAGATAAGAACTTTATGTTTGTTATTTCGTTTCAGCTTCATGACAGCGTTCTGATACTGTATTTCCCTTTCACAGATGAGAGAAAGGCTAAGTAGCTTGCCCAGAAACACACAAGTCAGAGGTAGAAGGACCATGTTCTTTAACCAGTTTATAAGTAGACGTCTTCCTAAGAACCTAGAGCTGACGGCATAGTGTTGACCTCGTGGCTAAGCTAATCAAATTGACATTTAATGAAAAGCAATAGATTATCTCCTGTGGCCTCAGGAAGAGCCACTTGACTATAGATAATCAGTGACAGAAATGCCTCTGTCAAAGGAATATGTGATCAGAATTCATGGGCAGCAATGGGACATAGGAATGTGGGAATGAGAGGTTTGAGCTCCAGGGGTACTGGAGAGGGCTTCTCCCCCAGCACTCCCTGACTCTGGAATGCTGCTGCCTCTTAAATATGGATACAACCCCACTCTGTTGTTTTGTACTGCCCCATGCCCCAAATCTCTCTTTTGATGGACTGTATCCTCCAATAACTTCTTCAAGCAAGGATACACTGAAGCAAATTGTTCTGAAAGATGACATTATTCTTTATTACACTTACATGACTGGTTGGGCATAAAATTTTAGATTGGAAGTAATTTCCCTTTCAAATTTTGAACATATTACTCCATTATGTTCTGGCTTCTGGTAGTGCTGTTGAGAAGCCTAAAATCAATCTAATTTTTGATTCTTTGTAAGTATTAATTTTTAAAAAACTTTTCTGAAAACTTTGGGGAGCTTTTCCTTCTTTGTTATATATTCCAAATTTTCAAGATGATGTGCCTTGGTGTGGGTTTGTTTTCATGTGTTTCAACCCAGGAAGTTATGTGGTTCAACTTGAGACATTTTCTTTTCTTTTTTTTTTTTTTTAACTTTTATTTAAGTTCAGGGGTGCAAGTGCAGGTTTGTTATGTGGGTAAACTCGTCATGGGAGTTTGTTGTACAGATTATTTCATTACTCAGGTATTAAGCCTAGTACCCATTAGTTGTTTCTCCTGATCCTCTTCCTCCTCCCAGTCCCCACTCTCTGAAAGGGCCCAGTGTGTGTTGTTCCCCCACCTGCCATGTGTCCCTGTGTTCTCATCATTTAGCTCTCACTTATAAGTGAGAACATCTGGTATTTGGATTTTTTGTTCCTGCATTAGTTTGCTAAGGATAATAGCCTCCAGCTCCATCCATGTCCCTGAAAAGGACATGATCTCATTCTTTTTTATGGCTGCATAATATTCCTTGGTGTATAGGTATCACACTTTCTTTATCCAGTCTACCATTGATAGGCATTTAGGTTGACTCCGTATCTTTGCTGTTGTGGATAGTGCTGCAGTGAATGTATGCATGCACATGTCTTTATAACAGAATGATTTATATTCCTTTGGGTATATACCCAGTAACCCATTACTGGGTTTGCTGAGTCAAATGGTGTTTCTCTCTTTAGGTCTTTGAGGAATCACCACACTATCTTTCACAATGACAGAAGTAATTTGCACTCCCAAATACAGTGTATAAGTGTTCTTTTTTCTCCACAACCTCGCCAGCATGTGTTGTTTTTGACTTTTTAATAATAGTCATTCTGACTGGTGTGAGATGGTATCTCATTGCGGTTTTGATTTGCATTTCTGTAATGATCAGTGATGTTGACCTTTTTTCATATGATTGTTGGTTGCATATATGTCTTCTTTTGAAAAGTGTCTGTTCATGTCCTTTGCCCACTTTTTTATGGGGTTGTTTGTTTTCCTCTTATAAATTTAATTTCCTTATAGATGCTGGATATTCGACCTTTGTGGGATACACAGTTTGCAAAAATTTTCTCCCATGTTGTAGGTTGTCTGTTTACTCTGTTGATAGTTTCTTTTGCTGTGCAGAAGATTTTCAGTTTCACTTGACCCCGTTTGTCAATTTTTGCTTTTGTTGCCACTGCTTTTGGCATCTTCATCATGAAATCTTTGCCTGTGCTTATGTCCTGAATGGCATTGCCTCAGGTGTCTTCCAGGGTTTTTATCCTTTTATAGTTTTAAGTCTTTAATCTAACTTGAGTTAATTTTTGTATATGGTGTAAGGAAGGGGTCTAGTTTCAATCTTTTGCATATGGCTAGCCAGTTATCCCAGCACCGTTTACTAAATAGGGAGATTTCTTTCCCCATTGCTTGTTTTTGTTAAGTTTGCCAAAGATTCTGACTGGTGTGAGATGGTATCTCATTGTGGTTTTGATTTGCATTTCTCTAATGATCAGTGATGCTGAGCTTTTTTCATACCATTGTTGGTTGCATACATGTCTTTGGGTTTTACATTTAAGTCTTTAAGATAGTTGTAGATGTGTGGTCTTATTTCTAGGTCCTCTTTTCTGTTACATTAGTCTATGTGTTTGTTTGTGTACCAGTACCATGCTGTTTTGGTTACTGTAGCCCTGTAGTATAGTTTAAAGTCCGATGCTTCCAGCTTTGCTCTTTTTGCTTACGATTGCCTTGGCTGTTTGGGCTCTTTTTTGGTTCCATATTAATTTTTTAAAAACTGGTTTTCTGAAATAATTAATAAAACTCATAATCTATTTCTTACAAATTTTCAAGAACTCAAACAAAATCTTGACTGTTTTTGGAGTTTGCTCGTTGAAGGATTTTTTAAAATTTATTTACTTCCCAGTAATTGGTCTATTAAAATCTCATTGGTTAAAAAAAAATAGATAGACTTGTAGCTAGACTAATAAAGGAGAAAGAGAGAACATTCAAATAAAAACAATCAGAAACAATAAGGGCGATATTACCACTGACCCCACAGAAATACAAACAACCATCAGAGAATATTATGAACAACTCTGTGCACATAAACTAGAATATCTAGAAGAAATTGATAAATTCTGGGTCACATCCACCCTCCTTGGGATGCAAGGTTGGTTCAACATATGCAGATCAATAAATGTGATTCATCACATAAACAGAGCTAAAGAAGAAAACCCACATGATTATCTTAATGGACGCAGCAAAGGCTTTTGATAAAATTCAACATCCATTCATGTTAAAAACTCTCAATAAACTGGATATTGAAGGAACATACCTCAAAATAATAAAAACCATATGTGACAAACCCACAGCCAACATCATACTGAATGGACAAAAGCTGCAAGCATTCC
Organism: Homo sapiens; assembly: GCF_000001405.40. Classification (NCBI taxonomy): domain Eukaryota; kingdom Metazoa; phylum Chordata; class Mammalia; order Primates; family Hominidae; genus Homo; species Homo sapiens. Next base: position 91,373,218 of record NC_000015.10, read on the forward strand.
CCTTGGAAACTGGCATAAGACAAAGATGCCCTCTCTCCCACTCCCACATTAGCTTTGAAGTTTGTTTGTTTTTTGCTCTCGGTTTTCTAGTTCTTTTAGTAGTGATGTTGGGTTGTTAACCTGAGATCTCACTTTTTGATGTGGACATTTAGTACTATAAATTTCTCTCTTAACACTGCTTTATTAGCTGCATCCCAGAAACTCTGGTAAGTTGTATCTTTGTTCTCATTAGTTCCAAAGAACATGAACTTCTTGATTTCTGCCTTAATTTCATTATTTACCCAGAGTTATTCAGGAGCAAGTTATTCAATTTCCATGTAATTGCATGGTTTTAAATGAATTTCTTAGTCCTGATTTCAAATGTGATTGCATTTGCTTTGTGACGTAACATATCTTGTATCCTTGAGAATGATCCATGTGCTGAGTAGAAGAATTTATATTCTGCAGCCATTGGATGAAATGTTCCTTGAATATCTATTAGTTCCATTTGGTCTATGGTGCAGATTAAATTTGATGTTTCTTTGTTGATTTTCTGTCTGGAAGATCTGTCCAATGCTGAAAGGTGGGTGTTGAAATCTCCAGCTATTATTGTGTTAGGCTTTTTCTCTCTCTCTCCTTTGGTGCATATGTCTGTTCTTATTTCTCTCTCTTTCTGTCTCTGTCTCTGTTTCTATCTCCAGAATTCTGATCATTTTAGTGTTGAACCTCTTTTAATTTTCTTCTGTGTTTCAACTTTTTTCTTTTAGCTCTATTTCTGGAGGACATAAGGGTCATCTACTCAACTTTGTCTTAGCATGCTAATGAGAATTTTTTAACAAGTTTCGCTGTCATGTTTTCAACTTGTAAGAGCTTTCTTATTCTTTAAATTGGGTTCTTGTTTCATGAAAATGGTAACTGCTTTTTATCTCTTTGAGAACACTCATATAGGTTTCTGAAGGTCTTATCTCCTAGTATAGTCCTTTCCATTCAGGCTGCTTTTATTTGTCTGCTTGCTCTGGTCTCTGCCATTCATGTTAGAAGCTTTGCTCAGATGCCTGGTGACCCTTAGCTGTCAGTTTCTGTTAAAAAAAAAAAGAAATGGAGCACTGAAAAGCTAAAAGCTGATGGAAGCTCTCTGATTGTAAGCTTCCTTGGAAGGTGATCTTGCTGGGTCTGAGTTTTTCACTTGGGCTGGAGAGATTCTCTCCAGAGAAGAATCATCTTACCTTCTGATCAAGTGTCTGCCACCCTCATTGGAACCAAGTGGTAGGAAAACCTGGAGGATCTCAGTATTCAGTGTGTACATTTAAGCACTTGGTGTCTGGAGAGCTCCTGCCTAGAGACACCATATTTTACCCTGTAGAGAGGAAACCTCCAGCCTGCTGCCACCGTGGGATGCAGTCACCCAGTCTAGGGAGAGGATCTGGGATCTACCTACTACTTAAATAGCATTCAACCCTGTTTTCATGCTTACGTTTGCTTCTGCCTCCCGAGGTAAATTTTGCTGCCAACTCTTGAACTTTTGGGGATCCTGGTTGCCTTCCTACTGCTTGCTTGGGGTTCAGCATCCCTGGGTCTGCTGTCAGGTGCCACTCAGATTCTGCTTTCCAGTTTCCTAAATGCTGAAGGTATTGTCCTTTCTTTTCTTCTTATCTTTATTGGTTTATTTATTTATTTCTAATAATCTCATGTTCATGTGGTTTAATGATGGAGTGAAGGTATACGCATTTATTCAACCAAACATCTTAGCTGAAGTCTATGAATTTATCTTAGAGTAAAATCTTAATCATTCCATGTTTCAATTAATCAGAATTTTATATATGCATTCTGATTTGGGGGTGATATGGGGGAGGAGAGAGAGAGAGAGTGTGAGCCAGAGCGACCCAGAGAGAGGATTCTGTGACAAACAAATCTGTGGCTCTGTGTACTTGGAAGTCAATAGGAATTTAGCCCTGTTTCCTGTCTAAAAAGCAGTGATGTCCAGAAAATGGATCCTGAACTAGTCTAAGAATCCTTGAGGCAATGGGGCAGATCCAATTGTGTTCAATTTTTAGTCTTTAGGCTGAAAGGGGAAATACTGTAAAGCACATTTTAAAAACACATTTCTGAAAGTGGCGTTTTCTGATTCGCTCTCAAATAATTGGATATGGAAGGTAGCCATGCATCTTTGGCTAACTCAGCATTCGTTGCTATATTCAGTGAGTTCATCTCTATATTCATGTCCTTCCTCTCCAGCTTAATATTAAAAATTTAAAAGTGAGGAACGTAGAATAGTTGAAATAAAAGAAACAGATCACCCATAACCTGCCTCTTCTCCCTCCCACCCAAAGACAACCATTGTTAACATTTTGCTGTATTCTCTTCCTGTACTTTTTTTCCAGGCACCTTTATTCAAAGAAGTTTTTGTCCCTAAAATTCTTTTAGACAATGAATAAGTTGTCAGAGAAAAACTCCCACTCTCCACACACTCCAGACTCCCCAGCTTGAGGTGATTGACTTGGGAATCCCCTATCTTAACTTTATAGTGTTGATATGATGTCTTTTATCTGGGTATTCTGAGGTGTTCTCTCCTTATCACACTCTCCTTCATTCCCTTCCTCCCTGCCCCCCCACCCCACACACTCTCTCTCTCTCACACACACACACACATACGCTCAGACACACATGCACATACACATGTACACACACACATATGCACACACACATATGCACAAACAAGCAATGGGTCAGAGAAGGCCATGTAGAAAACCATTATTACTCTCCAAAAGGAAGGACACCCACACTTTTACAATGGACAAAAAGCAGCTCCGTTTTTGTGAAAAATGAATTTTCTGTTAGGCCTGGAAAGAAACTAAAAAGTGTTTCTCTCTCTATCCAGTTGGAACTTGTGTGTGTGCACACGCCCGTGTGACCGAAAGAGCGAGGGAGAGAGGGAGGGAGAGAAGAAGGGACGGAAGAAGGGAGAGAGAGAGAGAGATTAAAGGGCAAATGTACTGTGGCAAGCTCGTCCTGACTGAGCGAGGAGCAGGCAGCTGTGGTGCTGAGATAGGAGCTTGGAATGCTCCATGGTGCCAAGACTGTCATAAACGGCTCCTGGGGTCTGAAAAAACGACAGCAGGATTCAGCGTTCCTCTGACAACCACTCAGAAAATAAAATGTGAAGAAGTAGGAGGAAGGGACGATGTGGGGACAGCCATCACAATGCTCCCTGCGACTCCATGGATGCCTAGAAATGCTGGTCACTTAAAGGGCACAGGTGAGGGGAGGTTGGACAGGTGGCAGTAGTGCTGCCAAGCCACATAGCCTGCTCTCCCAGTGGTGAATGTTCTTGCGTAAATAGTGGAGAAGATAGTCACCTAGTTTACATAGGCCTCCCTTGTCCTAGACATACATTTTAATTTTCTCAGGTGATCACTTGCTTGATTGTCTGTGTAAAAGATCAGCAATGCTTTTTCTGTAAAGGTCTAGGTAGTAAATATTTTAGGCTTGGTGGCCCATATGGTCTGTGTCACAGCTACTCAACTCTGCTGTTGAGCTGTGAAAGCAGCCATATAAATACATAATAAAGGAGTGGGGCTGAGCTCCAAAGTAACTTTATGAGCACTGAAAAATTGCATTTTATATAATTTTTACATGTCCCCAAATATTATTATTCTTTTGACTTCTTTCAACCATGTAAAAATGTAAAAATCATTCTTGGCTCATGAGCTGTATAATAAGAGACCACAGGCTGGAACTGGTGCATGGGCCACGGTTGCCCAAACCCTGTGTCCAAACTATGGCATTGTAAAGGCAGAAGGGATCTCTGACCCTCTCTGTCTTTTTTCTCTTTCCTTCTCTTCAGTTTCCCATTGTGCTGATTTGGAAACCAGAATCAAAAGCTCAGGGAAGTGAAAGGTTTCCGACTTAACCCGTTAGTGGCAGTGTTAGGAAAAAAACTCAAGTCTCAAGGAGCACTTGTTACAGCCCAGACCAAGACTAAAGGCTGCTTTCGTGACTGCAGAGGGCATGCCATCCTGTGGTACACTAGCTTCTTAGGGTTACACTGAATCTGAAACTTACTTCTTTTTAAACTCTTTCTGTTCTATGATTCTTCGGTGCATAATTTGTTAATTTTTGCCGGTTACTCTGCTTAACACTACTGGGATATAGCGATAAGCCACGTTCAACCCTGCCCTCTAGGAACTAATTTCTTCAGGGTCTGATTTTGATGATCCAGACAAATCTACTTATGTGTAGTTTTACCCTTAAAAATAAAATCTAGTTCACTTATGTCAGTTATAATAATAATTAGAATTTGGAGGAAATCCATTCTTGCAGCAAGAAGGCAAAAGAGAGTAAAGAGTAAATGTCGAAGTCACCCTCTTACTGTGTGTTGGGGTTAAAACAAGACTATTATTTTAAATGAATACATAGAAATTTTGCTACCAAGCGAGTACAATTTCTTTTTTTTATTTTTTATTTTATTTTATTATTATTATACTTTAAGTTTTAGGGTACATGTGCACAATGTGCAGGTTAGTTACATATGTATACATGTGCCATGCTGGTGTGCTGCACCCATTAACTCGCCATTTAGCATTAGGTATATCTCCTAAAGCTATCCCTCCCTCCTCCCCGCTCCTCACAACAGTCCAGGAGATACATCGATTCCTCTGATTCCAGGCATTTCTGGAAGTGTCCTTACTACCTACATTACTTCCTTCTGTAAAGCTCTACTGGTCAAGTCTTTATCTTTTGTGGTTGGATTTCTGCTTTTGGAAATTACAACCTGCTTTTCAAGTCGCATTTTGTAAATTAGTTGAGGTGTCTTGCTGAGTGATAATGTTTGAGTCAAAAACTTCGTGAAAAGCACGTTATGAACTGGTGAGTTGTCATGGCAAAGATCCCAATTGTTGGACTGAGGCAGAGAGGTAGAAAGAACACAGACTTTAAGGTCTGACAGATAGAAGTGTAGCTCCCACCTCCACCACATATTAGATATGTGATGTTAAAAGAGATATTATACCAATTTGAGCCTCAGTTTTCCTATCTGTAAAAAGAAGATGTTAATCCTTTCCTTGCACTGTTGTTGTAAGGATTAGAGATGACATAAATAAAAATGTTTCCAGCGTGCTAGGTATTCAACATACATTGGATACACTTATGCCAGTTCACTGCAAAGGATAGTATACAGGAGTAAGAATTTTTTTTTTCAAAATAGACTTTTTTTGGGATTAACTCTGAAGCAGTGTTAAATAAGTGAATCAAGATATTTTTCACTTCTGTTGAAGTATGTGCCTTCTTACGTTTGGTAATGTTGGAATTTTCCACCGAAGAAGTTGACACTTCACTTCTGAATCATACGAGAAATTGCATGTTTCAGCATTAGTTACTATTTGCTTTTTTAAAAAGTGTCATTTGTCTAGCTTCCCTTGAAAGATCAGCTAAATGTCACATTATCCCTGCTTCTGCTAATCTTTCAAAATGCTCACCACAATAGTGATAACAATTTCTTCATGCTCAAGTTTATTTAAAACATGTTCTAAAGATAGTGTTACCGAATTTGTATTTGTTTAATAAAAATCAGGTTTATTTTTTCCATATACAAATATAGATTCATTGTAAAACATCTAGAAAACTAAGAAAAGTAGATCTAAAAAAAAATCTTGGTCTAATCACACAAAGCTAGCCACAGTTAAATTATTGTTTCCATTTTGGTATATTTTATTTTAATCTTCTTACTATTTTTACTATCCTTCCTTGTATCTATGATGGTGGTAACATGATGTATATATGAATGCGTATATATTATATAAATATATGAAATATATAAATGTGTCTTTTTAAAATGGTACCTGTTTATTGCTCATTTTATATATATATAAACATGATGTATATATCTGATGATATATATATGTATATATATACTCCATGATAGAAGTTGAAAACTACTGAAAACTTTATAGAAGTTATGAGAAACAACCTATAAACTCATTATATAGAAATAACTTTCTTCCCCATTGCTTCTCCACATTTTGGCTTAGATCAAATTTAGAAATAATTTTCTTAACATCTTTTCCTATTGTATTTTTAGAGTATCAAGATATGGCTGCACATTCTTATTTTTATGTATAGTTGTCACAGGAACACCCACCAAAATAATTGTTCTGGAATAGAATTTGGTAACAAATATTTTCTTCCAGAAAGTGGTATGTTAGCTTTTTCCAGTGAAAAAGAGATCACCACTGATGATCAATATGGGTTTTAAAAGATAAATTCCTGGACATGAAAGTAGACATTGGGTTTATATCAACAGCTAGCTCAATCTTTGTTTTCAATAGACTTTAGTTTTAGAGCAGTTTTAAGTTAATAGCAAAGTATAGTGGAAAGTACAGAGAGTTCCTACAGGCCCCACCTCCCCAAATGCACAGCCTTCCCCGCTATCAGCATTCTTCACGAGATAGGTATGTTTGTTACAATGAATAAACCAACATTGACATGTTGCTGTCACCCAAAGTCTGTAATTTACATTAGGGTCCATTCTTGCTGTTGTACATTCAATGGGTTTTGACAAGTGTGTAATGGCATAAGTCTACAATTATAGTAACACACAGAGTAGTGTCATTGCCCTAAACATCCTCTATGCTCTGCCTTTTCATGCCTCCCCACTTCCCAACCTCAGCAATCACTGAACGTTTTACTGTCTCTATTATTTTGCCTTTTCCAGAATGTCATATAGTTGGAGTCATATAGTAAGTGGTCTTTTCAAATTGGTTTCTTTCACTTAGTAATAGGTATTTCAGTTTCGTGTATGTCTTTTAATGGTTTCATAGCTCATTTTTTTTTCCTTTTTCTGCAACAAAAGCCACATTCAAAGCTCATTTGTTTTTATTACTGAATAACAGTCCATTGTGCAGATGTACCAGTTGGTTTATCCATGCACTTACTGAAGGACATCTTGGTTGCTTCCAAGTTTTGGCAATTATGAATAAAGCTGTTATAAACATGTATGTGCAGGTTTCTGTGTGTGGACACAAGTTTTCAATTCATTTGGGCAAATACTAACAAGTGTGATTGCTGCATCATATGGTAAGAGCACGTTTAGCTTTGCAGGAAACTGCCAAACTGTCTTCCAAAGTGGCTGTGTCATTTTGCATTCCTACCAGCAATGAATGAGAGTTCCTGTTGCTCCACATCCTTGCCAGCAGTTGGCGTTGTCAGTGTGATGGATTTTGGCCATTCTAATATGTATGTATTGGTATCTCATTTTAATTTGCATTTCCTTAATTATATATTAGGTGGAGCATCTTTTCATATGTTTATTTACCATCTTTGTCTCTTCTTTGGTGAAGTGTTTGTTCAGGTCTTTTGCCCATTTTTTAATCATGTTGTTCATTTTCTTATTGTTGAGTTCTTGGTATATTTTTGATAACAGTTCTTTATCAAATAGAAAGATATTGATAAAGGTTTTAATCTAATATCAAATAGAAAAATATTATCTTTTGCTATTATTTTTTTCCCAGTCTGTTGCTTGTCTTCTGATTCTCTTGGCAGTGTCTTTCATAGAGTAGAGGTTTTTAATTTTAATGAAGTCCAGCTTATCAAATCACATCTTTCATGGATTGTGCCTTTGATGTTGGATTTAAAGTCTTTGCCACACTTGTAGTCATCTAGATTTTGCTCTACTGTATCTTCCAGGAATTCTATGTATTTTCTGTTTGGATCTATGATCCAATTTGAGTTAATTTTTATAAAGGGCTTAAGTTTTGTATCTAGATTCACTTTTTTTTTTGCATGTGGATGCCCCATTGCTGCAGTATCATTTGCTGAAAAGACTATCTTTTCTTTATTGTATTTCCATTGCTCCTTTGTCAAAGTTCAGTTGAACGTATCTGTGTGGGGTATATTCCTGGGCTCTCTATTCCATTACATTGACCTATTTGTTTATTCTTTTACCAATACCATGCTATCCTGATTATTGTTACTTTATAGAAACTGTTGAAGTCAGGTAGTGTCAGTCCTCTGACTTTCTTCTTCTTTTTCACTATTGTATTGATTATTCTGGCTCTTTTCTCTCTGCACATAAACTTTAGAATCAGTTTGTCAATATCCACAAAACAACTTGCTGAAGTTGTATTCAATTTACAGATCAAGTTGGGACAAACTGACATCTTGACAATATTGACTTTTCCTATTCATGAACATGGAACATCTCTCCATTTATTTAGTTCTTGTATTTATTTCATTAGAGTTTTGTAGTTTTATTCATATAGATCTTGTGCATTTTAAAAGGATTTATACCTAAGTTTTTCATTTTTTGCAATCTACCCATCTGACAAAGGTCTAGATACTAGTATCTAGAATCTACAAGAAACTTAAACAAACTTACAAGAAAAAAACAAACAACCCCATCAAAAAGTGGGTGAAGGATATGAACAGACAGTCAAAAGAAGACATTTATGGTGAAACCCCATTTCTACTAAAAATTCAAAAGTTAGCTGTGCATGGTGGTGGGTGCCTGTAATCCCAGCTACTCAAGAGGCTGAGGCAGGAGGATAGCTTGAACCTGGGAAGCGGAGGTTGCAGTGTGCTGAGATCGCACCATCGCACTCCAGCCTGGGCAACAAGAGTGAGACCCCATCTAAAAATAAAAAAAAAAAAAAAGACATTTATGCGGCCAACAAATGTGAAACAAAGCTAATCATCACTGATCATTAGAGAAATGCACATCAAAACCACAATGAGATACTATCTCATGCCAGTCAGAATGGTGATTATTAAAAAGTCAGGAAACAATAGATGCTGGTGAGGTTGTGGAGAAATAGAAATGCTTTTTTTAAAATAAAATTATACTTTAAGTTCTGGGATACATGTGCAGAACGTGCAGGTTTGTTACATAGGTATACATGTGCCATGGTGGTTTGCTGCACCCATCAACCTATCATCTACATTAGGTATTTCTCCTAATGCTATCCCTCCTGTAGTCTGCCCAGCACTCCCAGACAGACCCCAGTGTGTGATGTTCCCCTCCCTGTGTCCATGTATTCTCATTGTTCAACTCCCACTTATGAGTGAGAACATGTGGTGTTTGGTTTTCTGTTCAAATTAGGAACACTTTTACACTGTTTGTGGGAGTGTAAATTAGTTCAACCATTGTGGAAGACAGTGTGGTGATTCCTCAAGGATCTAGAACCAGAAATACCATTTGACCCAGCAATCCCATTGCTTGGTATATACCCAAAGGATTGTAAATCATTCTGTAGAAACACATGCACATACATGTTTATTGCAGCACTATCTACAAGAGCAAAGACTTGGAACCAACCCAAATGCCTATCAATTATAGTCTGGATAAAGAAAATGTGGCACATATACACCATGGAATACTACGCAGCCATAAAAATGAATGAGATCATGTCCTTGCAGGGACATGGATGAAGCTGGAAGCCATCATTATCAGCAAACTAACACAGGAACAGAAAACCAAACACTGCATGTTCTCACTCATAAGTGGGAGTTGAACAATGAGAACACATGGACACAGGGAAAGTAACATACACACCATGGCCTGTAAGGGGTTGGGAGGGCGAGCATCAGGACAAATAGCTAATAAATGCGGGGCTTAGAACCTAGATGATGGGTTGGTAGGTAAAGCAAACCACCATGGCACATGTATACCTATGTAACAAACTTGCACGTTCTGCACATGTATCGTGGAATTCAAAGTAAAAAAAAAAAAAACAAAAATAAAAAATAAAAAGAAGCAAAGAGAGGGAGGAAAAAAAACAAAAACAAACCAAGTAGGATTTACCTGTTGCATACCTGGGGTAAATCTTGTTTGGTTGTGGTGTCATACTCTTTTTATATATTGTATTTGATTCAATAATCTTTTGTTGAAAAATTTTGCATCTATTTCATGAGAGATACTGGTCTTTAGTTTTCTTTTTGTGTAATGTCTTTGTCTGGTTTTCATATTAGGATAATGCTGGCTGATTAGAATAAGTTAGGAAATATTTCTGCTTCTAACTTCTGGGAGAGATTGTAGAGACTTGGTATAATTTCTTCCTTATATGTTTGTGGAATTCACCAAGATGTTTGGAATAGTAATGCTTTCAGCACAATTTCCCAACCTCATGAATGGTTCTTCTATTTTTACCAGACATGCTTAAAAGAAGAGAGCCATGTATTCTTTATTGTTAGTTTTTGAAAATACATTTTTGAAAGAGCAGTTTTAGGTAAAAAGTAAAATTGAGAGAAAGGTACAGAGATATCCCATATACCACCTTCAGATTTTTTTCTTTCTTCCTATTTCTAAAAAATGAAAAAATAAAAGATGGTGTAGGTGTGATTCTTTTTATACTACTTTTGTCTGAATGACAATTAGCTCTCTTCATGTACATACTTAACAAATTAGGAAATTTTTCTTCAATTCCTTCAACGGAATTCTTGTCTCTATTTCAGTTGTTCTGATTATTACTTGAGGTTGTTCCTAAAATTGTTAAGTTGCAAATTTGTTCTTTGTCCCTTTCACTGCAATTAGTTAATCATTTTCAACAACATTGATTTCCTCTACATTTTAGGAGTTTCTCAAGTTTGTCCTCTAAACACAGATTCAGTTTTGCATAACATGTAATCAGTCTCCCTCATATGGTTATTATGCCACAAACATAATACGATTGCAATGTTTTTTCTTGCAGTATTACCTATTTGCATTTTTACCAACTCCTTTGGTCTTCTTATGGCTTTCTGTTACTGTTTCATGAAGATTCTCCTCTTGCAACATATTCATTTCTAAGGTGTCTTTTCTAGTTTTTCCCCTCCTCAGCGACATACTAGAATTACTAGTATAGTGGAATTGAAAATGAAATTCAAGTACTGCTCAGCATGAAAACATGTTGCCTATTTATTTTCCACAGCAGATCTAATCTTTGTCATGGAACACCACCTCATGGGTTGAAGGGGGTGTAGCAAACATAGATCTTTCTAATAAACAGCACCTCCATTTATTCCAGTGTGGATCACTTGCTCTCTTTGGGGGCAACACTCAGTCTTTTATATTCTCCCCCTGCCCTACATGTGTATCTTTGAGACTTTGGGGGACAGAAGACTGTGCATCTATTTGTGCACTCTGGATCTGCAACGGTCTTTGCTGTAGAGAGGTGGGTGGGTCCGGTCTGGTTCAACCTGGATTGGTGTCCACTGGGGAATCACAGGCCTTGATTGACCCTTTCAGGGGTGGTGCTCTGCTGTCCACGACTGAAGTTCTGTTCACTAGTCTTTGGTTTTGATGTTGCAGTGCACAGGGCCCTCTTTGCGCTGACTGTGAAAGTTCTGCTTATTCATTAGCCTTGTTGGCACTTCCTTTTTCCTCCCTAGGTCACATGGGGGCTTCTGTTTCCCCTGCACTACTCTTGAGGAACATGACCTTGGTCTCATCCCTCTCAGTAGGTCTAATCTGTTTTTTAGTGACATGTCGCTCTGATGACTAGCTGAATGCGAGTCTTTCAAATGAAGACTTAGAATCTTCCAGTTTGTGACTGAGAAAGTGAGGAAAAAAGTCCCACAATTCTGGAGTGCCCCAATTTATTTAGTTGTCACCATTACAGCCTCCTCTGGGATTTTATCCTAGCCAGGGGATGAGATCAAAGTATCTGCTAGTGTGCTTACCCCATCTCTTCTCTCCTCAAATGCTCCATCTTTCTGTCCTAGACCTTCTTCACTTCCTCTCTAGGCAACCTGAATTTCTCTTAATTATGTGTTGAGTTCCCTAGTTTCCTCTTTCAGTAAAACTCTGAGTTTGAGCTAAAGGCTTGAACGAATGCAGATTTCATCCGTACTTTGCATTTAAATTGATTAGCAAAGAGCATTTCTGTTTTGTTTTTTAACTTTAAAATTTCAAAATTCCTTTCACTCTTGATAAAGGTTTTTCAATAAAAGTCCAGTTTGTTCTAAATAATTTCTGGCTACACTGATCCCAAGGGAATGAATGCTGTAGGTGAGAAGCAACATGGTAGCCAGATTTATGCCATTTAAAAACACACCTGAAAATATTTATAAAGCATTCTCCTTATATGGTCCATTTCCAAGTGTATTTGGTCACTGGATATTTGTTGACATCCTTGGGGATGCCAATATTCTGCTGAAAACAGTTTGGAATTGATGCCTTTTTTTTTTTTTTTTAAAGGTTGAGAGTGTTGGTTATGAAACCAGTGGATAAGGTATGATGGCTCAGAGGGGAGACTGGCAGGATCCCTGGGGTTGGTGTGACTCATACATTGTAAGTTAAAAGTCTATTCAAGATCTTTAATAAGATCACTTACAAGTTCTTTTCTTTTCCTCAATGTATTCACACAGCACTTATCACCCCAGTGACTCAAATATCTCAGGAGCGTGTAGCTAGAACACAAAAGGAGCTGGAGGATGGGGGGAACACACTCCCCTAACTTCCTGACTTCTTCAAAGACAGTTTATTAGCCAGACTTTGGCTTGATTTCTCAGGCTTAACAATCATAAAATGAGTAATTATTTTTACAGCTCAGTTATTTTATCTCAGTGGTTAGGCTGGTAATAGTAAAAGCTATTGCTCAGCTGGTTAGGACATAACATGCAATTTGTCTAAAAGAGACATGGTGTTGATTTAATTCAGGCACCACATTTATTGTACCTTCTCTAATAAGTGTTTGTTTCTTAATGGTAAGATACGTTCCTGTCTATCTCCAGCCTCTCTCCCATCTGTAGCTGCCCAGCTTCTCTTAGTGATGGTTTCATCATCTACTTGATGTGGACAATTGGGTTGATAGTATGTGAACTTACCTTAAATCCTGTTTCTGACAAGTCTTCAAAATCTATTCCCTTAGCTTGCTTCAGAGCCTCAAAGAGGGCCTCCCAATTCCAGAATGCTATTCTTGCTCCTGGAGCTCTGTGGAATGATTGATTTGGCTGAAAGTAACATACAAATATGACATGACAGTTCACTGACACTACATAAAAATGTATTTTTTTTTCAGGTATAAACTAAGTTTGGCATTAAATGGTCCACCCATATGGCAGCTTTGCCCCCAAGTCTTCAGAGATTCAGACTCTTCTAGCTCACCACTCTACCCTCCCTAGATATAACTTGCATTTTTTGGTCTTCAGCGGTTTCTTAATTTCAGGCTGCAGTAAGAAGGAAAGGAAAATAAGAAGATGGGGTCCGGTCCACATACCAGCTGTACTCTCAAGGAAGGATCCAAGATGCTGTCACATGGCTTCCCCAATATCCCATTGGCCAGAAATTAGTCACATGGTCCCTAAGCTATAAGGAAGTCATGTGCCCAGGTAAAAATTCTCTTTTTATGGAAGAGGGGAGAAATGATTTTGGGGCGAATCCAGTAGCCCCTGCTGCAGCCAAGAAATTAGCTTTCCTGTGTGACTTACAATCTACTTTAAAACTAGCTCTAAAACAGTTTATTTTTAATTTTTGTGGTACACCGTAGGTGTATGAATTTATGGGGTACATGAGATATTTTGATACAGGCATTCAGTGAGTAACAATCATATCATGACAAATAGAGTAATCATTCCCTCAAATATTTCTCCTTTGTGTTACAAACAATTCAATTATACTATTTTAGTTATTTTAAAATGTACAATTAAATTGTTATTGACTATAGTCACTCTGTTGTACTATCGAACACCAGGTCTTATTCATTCTTTCTAACTGTTTTTTTGGTGCCCATTAACAATCCCCACCTCTCCTGAACCCCTCCTACTATCTACCCTTCCCAAACTCTGGTAACCTTCCTTGTACTCTCTACCTCCATGAGTTCAGTTGTTTTGGTTTTTAGATCCTACAAATAAGTGAGAACATGCAATGTTTGTCTTTCTGTGCCTGGCTTGATTCACTTAACATAATGATCTCCAGTTTCACCCCTGCTGTTGCAAATGACAGGATCTCATTCATTTTTATGGCTGAATAATACTCCATTATGCCTAAGTATCATATTTTCTTTATTTATCTGTTGATGGACACTTAGGTTGTTTCCAAATCTTGGTCATTGTGAACAGTTCTGCAACAAACATGGGAGTGCAGATATCTCTTCAATATACTTATTTCCTTTCTTTGTGTATTTACCCAGCAGTGGGATTGCTGGATCACATGGTAGTTCTATTTTTAGTTTTTTGAGGAACTTCCAAACTGTTCTCCATAGTGATTGTACTAATTTACATTCCCACCAATAGTATATGGTCCTCGCTAGCATTTGTTACTGCCTGTCTTTTGGGTAAAAATAATTTAAACTGGGGTGAGATGATATCTCATTGTAGTTTTGATTCACATTTCTATGATAATCAGTGATGTTGAGTACCTTTTGATATCACTGCTTGCCATTTGTATGTCTTCTTTTGAGAAATGTCTATTCAGATCTTTTGCCCATTTTAAAATTGGATTATTAGATATTTTCCTATTAAGTTGTTTGAGCTCCTTATATATTCTGGTTATTAATCCTTTGTCAGATGGATAGTTTGCAAATATTTTCTCCCATTCTGTGGGCTGTCTCTTCACTTTGTTGATTGTTTCCTTTGCTGTGCAAAAGGATTTTACTTTAATGTGATCCCATTTGTCCAGTTTTGCTTTGGTTGCCTGTACTTGTGGGGTATTACTCAGGAAATCTTTGACCCATCCAATGTCCTGGAGAGTTTCCTCAATGTTTTCTTGTAGTAGTTTCATAATTTGAGGTCTTAGATTTAAGTCTTTAATCCATTTGATTTTATTTTAGTCTATGATGAGGGGTAGGGGTCTAGTTTCATTTTTTTGCTTATGGATATTCAGTTTCTCCAGCACCATTTATTGAAGAGACTGTCTTTTTTGTATGTTCTTGGCACCTTTGTTGAAAGAGTTCACTGTAGGTGTGTGGGTTTCTTTCTAGGTTCTCTATTCTGTTCCATTGGTCAATCTGTCTGTTTTTATGCCAGTACTACACTGTTTTGTTTGCTATAGCTCTGTAATATAACTTGAAGTTAAGTAATGTGATTCCTCCAGTTTTGTTCTTTTTGCTTAGGATAGCTTTGGCTATTCTGTGTCTTTTGCGGTTCCATATAAATTCTGGGGCTGTTTTTTAAAATTTCTATTAATGTCATTGGTATTTTGATAGGGATTGCAATGAATCTGTAGATTGCTTTGGGTTGTATGGACGTTTTAACAATATTGAATCTTCCAATCAATGAACATGGAATATCTTTCCATTTGCGTGTGTGTTTCTTTCATCAGTTTCTTTCATCAGTGTTTTACAGTTTTCATTGTAGAGATCTTTCACTCCTTTGATTATTTCCCAGATATTTAATTTTATTTGTGGCTACTATAAATTGGATTACTGTTTAAATTTCCTTTTCAGATTGTTTGCTGTTGGCATATAGAAATGCTACTGATTTTTGTATATTGATAGTGTATCCTGCAACTTTACTGAATTTGTTTATCAGCTCTTTTTTTTTTGAGACGGAGTCTTGCTCTGTCACTCAGGCTGGAGTGCAGTGGTGCCGTCTTGTCTCATTGCAACTTCCACCTCCCAGGCTGAAGCGATTCTCTTGCCTCAGCCTCCCATGTAGCTGGGACTACAGGTGTGGGCCACCACACCCAACTAATCTTTGTATGTTTAGTAGAGACAGGGTTTGCAGTGTTGGCCAGGCTGGTTTCAATCTCCTGGCCTCAGGTGATCTGCCCACCTTGGCCTCCTAAAGTGCTGGGATTACAGGCATGAGCCACCATGCCCAGACTGTTTATCAGTGCTAATACTTTTTTTTTTCCTGGAATTTTTAGGTTATCCCAAATATAAGATTATATCCTCTGCAAGCAAGGGTAATTTCACTTCTTGCTTTCCAATTTGAATGCCCTTTATTTCCTTCTCTTGTCTGATTGTTGAAACTAGGACTTTCAATACCATGTTGAATAACAGTGGTGAAAATGGGCTTTCCTGTCTTATTCCAGATCTTAGAAGAAAGGCATTCAGCAGTTTTTTCTTATTCAATATGATACTGACTGTGGGTCTGTCACATATGGCTTTTATTGTGTTGAGGTACGTTCCATCTATATCCAGTTTTTTGAGGGTTTTTATCATGAAGGGATGTTGAATTTTATCAAATGCTTTTTCGGCGTCAATTGAAATGATCATGTGGTTTTTAGCCTTTATTTTGCTGATGTATAATCTGTCACATGGATTGATTTGTGTATCCTGAACCACTCTTGCATCCCTGGGATAAATTCCATTTGGTCATGATGAATGATCTTTCTAATGTGTTGTTGAATTTGATTTGCTAGTATTTTGTTCAGGATTTTTGCATCAATATTTATCAGGAATATTGGCCTATAGTAAATTATTTATTTTTTTCTGATGTGTCTTTTTCTGGTTTTGGTATCAATGTAATACTGGCCTCACAGAGTGAGTTTGGAAGTATTCCTTTCTCTTCTATTTTTTGGAATAGTTTGAGTAGGATTGGTATTAGTTCTTTAAATGTTTGGTAGAATTCAACAGTGAAGCTATTAGGGCTTTTCCTTACTGGGAGAATTTTCATTATGGCTTCAATCTTCTTACATATTATTGGTTTATTTAGGTTTTGGATTTCCTCATGGTTCAATCTAGGTAGGTTGTATGTGTCTAGGAATTTGTCTATTGCCTCTAGATTTTCCAATTTATTGGTATGTAGTTGCTCATAGTAGCCACTGATGATCCTTTGAATTTCTTTCATATCAGCTGTAATGTCCCCCTTTTCACCTTTAATTTTATTTATTTGGGTCTTCTCTCCTTTTTTCTTAGACTGGCTAAAGGTTTGTCAATTTTGTTTATCTTCTCAAAAAACCGATTTTTTGTTTCTTTGATCTTTTATATTGTTTTCTTTATTTCAAATTCATTTATTTCTGCTCTGATCTTTATTTCTCTTTTTCTACTGATTTTGGGTTTGGTTTGCTCTTTCCTTTCTAGTTCTTTAAGATGTATTGTTAGGTTATTTGACTGAAAATTTTTTTCTTTTTTGATGTAGGCACATATGGCTGTAAATTTTCCTCTTAGACTGCTTTTTCTGTACCCCATGGGTTTTGCTATGTTGTGTTTTCAATATCATTCGTTTAAAAACCATTTTTGATAAACGCAGCATCCCTAGGCAGGTTTCTGGCCTGTCTGGCTTGTAAAGTAATTATTTTCTTGGGTATCAGTTTTATTTGTTTCTTTGTTCTTAAAAGCTATATTAGCATTTAGAAAGTTACATTAATTTTGTTGTGTTCTCTTCTAAGCTGCCTATTTTATCATTTGACAAATGACATTATTCTGTGTAAGAAATATTCTAACACCAATCTTGGAAGCCTTTCACAAAATAATAGTAACCACTCTCCATTGGAAAGTGAACTGAAATATTTAGGTCTGAAATAATGCTCTTGGACCATGCTAGAGGCCAGAGCAAGCTAATAGACCTGGGGGGATTCAGGACAGGTATTTAGGTTGGTGGCTCTTGCTGCTCTCCCTCCACAGCTCTGCTACAATGCTCTCTCACAAATAGGAACCCAAGTGGACAAATAGGAACCCCAGTGTCCCACTCAGTGGACAAAGATCAAAATCAAAATCATACAGTAGGATTCATCCCCAAGCTCCTTTATTGCTTCTAAGCTGCTAATAGTAGGAAAAAGTTTGCTGGAGGCAAAAACTCCACTATTTATCTGCTGCTGCCATTTGGGTCTATTGTAGAGCCAGATCAGAATAAGTGGATTTTTCCTCACTTGATAACATTTTATTGAGCGCTCATCATGTGACAGACACTGTCCTGAAATTTCAAAAACAACAGTGAAGAAATGTACCAGTCATTTGACATTTTGATACTGACCCAACCTCTGATGAGAAACTACAGTTCTCAGGCTTCCTTGCCAACTGGCTCCTGGTTATGTTCAGCCAATGGGAGGAAATCAATGGTGGATGGAGTGGAGAAGTCTGAGTATTTCTCATTCATCCCTTCCAACTCTGCCCCTGGGCCTTAGATGGTATCTCCATCAGGGACTGTGTTTCCTCAGTGGTTTCAGATCTTCCAGAAACCATCATTCCACAGTCTCAGGCAGCCTCACCATGGTTTCACTTACTTCCAGGTGACCCCAGCTTCAGGTCCCTGGTAACACCACTCTCTCTCTCTCTTTGTCTCTCCAGACCTAGGGATAGGAGTTTCAGGCTCATCATCTGTTTTTTGCTTTTCGTTGTTATCATTTAACACCTTTATATTAGTTCCCATTATTAAATGTTGCATGGACCTCTGGCAAGTTTTAATAGGAGAATCACATGCAGATTCTTAGGGTTTTATACCTCTCCTCTGTTGATAACTATTCTTATTCAGAGATACAGTCCCAGGCAGAGACAAGATGTTTGTCCCTTTAAAATGAGATGACTGAAATGACTATAAGGCTTGACCAGTCAATTGCAAACTGGATATTATCTAATTTACAAAGCTATGGGTTTGCCTATATGTTAACAATGCTGTATCATTAAGTGGAAATGGTAAATGTGAGATTAGGTTCTAAAAGTTTCAAAAGACACAAGTGAGGTGTATGAGTGACTCAGATCTCCACGGCTTCTACTTTTGTAGCTTTGCCATCTGTCCTTCAAGCCAATCCTATGCCTAATGGAGAGTTTACTGTGGCTAGCTGATGGAGGAAGAATGGACTTGGATCCGAGGAATCGACTGGTGTGTGTGATAGGCTGGCAACAGTAGGAAGTGGATTGCTTCTGTCTTACAGCTCCATTCAGGGGTGATAAGGGGACTTCTGCAAGTGGGTAGAACTTCTGGCAATATATCCGGTTACCTCCTTCATAAGAAAGGAGATATGGCCATAAGTATGTATGTACACTGATACATGGTAGTGGCTGGTCAGTCAGGGTCTGTGAATGAATCATACTGAAATATTGGTGACAAGAAAGCCTGGAGAAGACAAATATGGATGGACTTCATGGAGAGGGCACAGAGTGTGAATATCATTTCTTCATGAATATGGGCACCATAGGGCACCCACTAAAGTGGAGACCCTCAATAATCAGGAGAACAATATAGCCTATTCTGTGGACAGCAGCCAGCCTCTTCCCAAACGAACTCAAAGCCTGCATAATGGTCTCATGTACAAAGGGACCATACCAGTAGTGATAAAGGCCATTTATAACATCAACTAAGTGGACTTCCCCTCAATAAGGCTCATCTGGCTACTGGCCCTCTTGCGTGTCTAAGCTGCCAGTCATAGGATTTGTGCTGTGCAATATAATAGCAGGTTGATTTCATTGAACTCCTTCCATATGAAGGAGCAGAGATGTATCCTTCCTGAAATAAGCTCTTATTCTGAAAATTAATTTGTCTTCCCTGCTCCCAGAGTTTATGTCAAATGCCATATTCACCATCATTGTATCCCATTTAATCTTGCTCCTGGTTGCAGAATTCATTTTATAGTGGGATCAGTTGACATGAGACTCAGCATTAATTTCAGTGTCTTGCTACATGACACTGCTGTCCTACGGGATAAAGCACATGCTTAGAACGTCAATAGAGATAAGTTGTTCTTTTTTCTTTTTAGCCAGAGATCATGGGTCTGGGAATACAGGGTGGAAATGGAAGTTATTATCACTATCAAGTTTAACAACCACTTCCAAAATTTTTTTCATCCTGCATGAGCAACTGCTATTTAGGGTTCTTCATTCTCCAAAGAGGAATGCTTCTACCAGGGGACATAATAATGGTGTTCTATCAAACTGGAAGCTGAGAATGTCACCTGGATATTTTTTAGTTCCTTGTGCTCTGCAGTAAGCAGAGAAGAGGTTCCAGAACTTACCCAGGAAATCCTGGATTACTGCTATGTGATGTTGGCAAGGAGGACTATGTTTGGGACCCAGGAAATTCATGGAGGTGTTTCTTAATACTACTATATTCAGTTGTAAAATTAATAGAAGTCTAGAGCAACCTTATAAAGGGAAGACCACTAAGAACTCAGGTCAATTAGAAATGAATCTTTGGGCTACTCCACCAGAAAAGAACTTTAACCATATTCTGCATGTGTCATATGTACACGTAAACACATACATATATGCACGAATACCAATTATTTCTTTTTCTGTGTTTCTCCTTGTACTATTTTTTTTTTTATAAGAAAAGGTGGAGTTGCTTCACTTTACGATTTATTGTCTAGGTTACAGAATGTCAGATGACCGAAGTAAAAGAGGAAGTAACATTGCCCAGAGATGGAGATTTGTGGCTTCTCTTTTTGGAAAGATGGCGATTTTGACTTTGATTTAGATTCCACATATAAATGAGACCATGCAGTATTTGTCTATGTCTGGCCGATTTCACTTAGCATAGTGTCCTCTAGCTTCATCCATCTTGTTGCAAATGACAGGATTTGCATCTTTTTTTAAGGCTGAATACTATTCTGTTGTGGATATATACCACACTTCCTTATCTATTCGTCTGTTGATGGACACTTAGATTGTTTCCATGTCTTGGCTATTGTGAATAATGCTCCAATGAACAAGAGAGTGCAGATATCTCTTGGAGATACTGATTTCATTTCTTTGTATATAATCCCAGAAGTGGATGGCTGGATCATATGTTAGTTCTATTTTTAACTTTTTAAGGAACGTCTATACTGTTTTCCATAAATTGCTGTACCAATTTACATATCACCAACAGTGTACAAGTGTTCCCTTTTGCCACATGCTTGCTAACACTTGTTATCTTTTTTCTTTTGATAATAAACATTCTAACAGGTGTGATGATACTTTTACTGTAGTTTTGGTTACATTTCCATGGTGATTCATAATGTTGAGAATTTTTTCCATATACCTGTTAGACATTTTTATATCTCCTTATGAGAAAAGGCTACTTAAGTTTTTTTTTTTTTTTGCCCAATTTTAAAATTAGGGAATTTTTTTTCTTGCTATTGAGTTGTTTGAATCCCTTATATATTTTAGATATTAACCCCTTATCAGATGTATGGCTTGCAGATGTTTTCTCCCATTCTTTAGTGAAGATTGTTGAGTATTTCCTTTGCTGTGCAGGTTTTTCATTTGCTGCAATCCCATTTATCTATTTTTGTTTTTGTTGTTTGTGCTTTGGGGTCATATAAAAAATCATCGTCAAAATTAATATCAAGAAGGTTTTCCCCTGTTTTCTTCTAGCAGTTTTACAATTTCAGGTCTTAAAGTTAAGTGTGTAATTCATTTTGAGTTGATTTGTGTATATGGACTGAGATAAGGACGCAATGTTATTCTTCTACAAGTGGATATACACATTTCTTAACACCAATTATTAATGAGACTGTCCTTTCCTCATTGTGTATTATTGGCAACTTCGTTGAAGAGGAATTGATTGTAAATTTATTTCTGGGCTCTCTATAATGTTTCATTGGTCTATGTATTTGTTTTTGTGCCAGTACCATACCATTTTGGTTACTATAGCTTGGTAGTATATTTTGAAATGAGGTAGCTTGAGGCCTCCAGCTGTGTTCTTTCTACTTAAGATTGCTTTGGCTATTTGAATCTTTTGTGGTTCCAGAAGAATTTTAGGATAGTTTTTTCTATTTCTGTGAAAAATGTTATTGGAATTTTGATAGGGATTACATTGGATTTGTAGATCAGTTTGAGTAGTATGGAGATTTTAACAATATTAATTCTTCCCATCCATATACGTAGGATATCTTCTCATTTATTTTTGTCTTTTTCAACCTCTTTTATCAATGTCAAATATTTTTCAATGCACAGATCTTTCCCTCTTCGGTTAAGTTTAATCATAAGTATTTCTTGATACTATTGTAAATGAAATTGTTTTCTTGATTTCTTTGTTGTTTAGTTGTTAGTGTTTAAAAATGCAACTGATTTTTTATGTTAATTTTGTATATTGCCAGTTTACTGAGTTTGTTTATTCTAACAGATTTTTTTGGCAGAGTCTTTAGGATTTCCTATATATAAGATTATTTTATATGCAAACAAAGATAATTTTAGTTCTTTCCTTCTTATTTGGATGCCTTTTATTTCTTTTTCTTTTTATTTTTGAGACAGAGTCTTGCTCTGTTGCCCAGGCTGGAGTGTAGTGGCACCATCTCAGCTCACTGCGACCTCCGCCTCCCTGGTTCACACTATTCTCCTGCCTCAGCCTCCCTAGTAGCTGGGACTACTGGCGCCTGCTACCACGCCTGGCTAATTTTTTTTGTATTTTTAGTAGAGACAGGGTTTCACTGTTTTAGCCAGGATGGTCTCGATCTCCTGACCTTGTGATTCGCCTACCTCGGCCTCCCAAAGTGGTGGGTTACAGGCGTGAGCCACCACGCCTGGCACCTTTTGTTCCTTTTTATTGGCTAATTGCTCTGTCTAGGACTTCCAGTACTATATCAAATGTAAGTGATAAGAATGGGCATCTTTGTCTTATTCCAGATCTTAGAGAAAAAGCTTTCAACTTTTTACCGTTGAATATGATATAAGCTCTGGGTTGGTCATATATGCCCTTTTTTTATGTTGAGGTATATTTCTTCCATAATTAATTTGTTGAGAATTTTTAACACAAAAGGATGTTGAAGTTTTTCAAGTGCTTTTTCTGCATCTCTTGAGATGATCATATGATTTTTCTTTCATTTTGTTAATGTGATATAAGATGATCATATGGCTTTTATCTTTCAGTTCATGTGTTATGTCATATTTATTGATTTATATATGTTGAAACATCCTTGCATCCCAGGAATAAATCCCACTTGATCATGGTGAATGATTCTTTTAATGTGTTATTGAATTCAATTTTTGAGTATTTTGTTTAAGATTGTTGGCATCTACATTCATCAGAGGAACTGGTCTATAATTTTCTTTGCTTGTAGTGTCCTTATCTGGCTTTGGTATCAGTGTAATAATGCTGGCCTTGTAAAATGAGTTTGGAAATAATCTCTCCTCTTCAGTTTTGTGGAAGAGTTTGAGAAGAATTGCTGTTAATTCTTTACATTTTTGGTGGAATCCTCCAGTGAAGCCATCAGGTCCTGGACTTTTCTTTGTTGAGAGGTTTTGGATTATTAATTCAATCTCCTTACTCATTATTGGTCTGTTCAGTTTTTTTTTTTTTTTTTTTGAGACTGGGTTTCAGTGTTGTTGCTCAGGCTGGAGTGCAGTGGTGCAATTACGGCTCACTGCAGCCTTGACTTCCTGGGCTCAAGTGATTCTCCCACCTCAGCCTCCTGAGTAGCTGGGACTACAGGTGTGCACCACTACATCCAGCTATTTTTTTATTTTTTATTTTTAGTAGAGACAGGGTTTTTCCATGTTGCCCAGATTGGTCTCAAACTCCTGAACTCAAGCTATCCACCCACTTCGGCCTCCCAAAGTGCTGGGATTACAGGCATGAGCCACCGGGCCCAGTCTCTATTTCTTGTTAATTGAGTCTTTGTAGGTTGTATGTTCCTAGGAATTTATACATTTCATCTAGGTCATCCAACTTATTGGTATATAATTATTCACAGTAGTCTCTTATGATCTTTTGTATTTTTGTGGTATCAATTGGAATGTCTCTTTTTTCATTTCTGTTACCTAGTTGAGTCTTCTTTCTGTTTTTTTTAAAATTTTTTTTAGTCTAGCTAAAGATTTGTCAGTTTCGCTTATCTTTTCAAGAAACCAGCTCTTACTTTTATTGCTGCTTTCTGTTGTTTTTAAAAATCTCTACTTTATTTTTGCTCTGATCTTTATTATTTCCTTCCTTCTGCTGACTTTGGGCTTAGTTTATTCATCTGTTGTTAGTTCCTGATGCATAAAGTTAGGTTGTTTATTTGAGATTTTTTTTCTTAATGTAGGTGTTTATTGCTATAATGTTTCCTCTTAGAATTGCTTTTGCTGTGTCCCATAAATTTTGGTATGTTGTTTCCATTTTCATTTGTCTTAAGATTTTTTCTGATTTTCTTTTCGATTTCTTCTTTGACCCATTGGTTCTTCAGGAATGTGTGTTTAATTTTCACATATTTGCAAATTTTCCAATTTTTTTCTTGTTACTAATTTCGATTTTCATCAGAAAAGGCACTTGACATGATTTTAATCGTCTTAAATTTTCTGAGACTTGTTTTGTGCCTTAACTTGATTTATCCTGAAGAATATTTCATATGAACTTGAAAAAAATGTATATTCTATTGCTTTTGGGTAGAATGTCATATTCAGTGGTGAAAAGTTCAAAGCTTTCCTCTAAAGTCAGGAGTAAGTCAAGGATGCCCACTTTTGTCACTTCTATTCAACATAGTACTAAAAATCATAGTCCAAGCAACTAGTCGAGAAAAAGAAATAAAGGCAGCCAAATAAAAAAAATTAAAATTATCTTCATTTGCATATAGCATGATCTTATACATAAAAAATTCTAAAGACTCCACCAAAAAACTTTTAGAACTAATAAATAAATTTAGTAAATTTGCAGGATACATATGTCTATTAGGTTCATTTGATATATAGTGTCATTCAGGTCAGCTGTTTCCTCATTTATTTTCTATCCGTATGATCTATCTATTGTTAAAAGTGGAGTGTTGAAGTCCCCTACTATTATTATCTTACTGTCTATTTCTCCTTTCAGTTCTGTTAATATTTGCTTTATATGTTTAGGTATGCCATTGTTGGGTATGTATATATTTACAATTGTTAAATTCTCCTGATGAATTGACCCCTTTATAATCACTTCTGTGTCTCTTGTGACAATTTTTGATTTAAAGTCTATCTGTATGACATAACTGCTCTTGTTCTCTTTTTGTTACCATTTGCAAAGAACCTTTTCTCAGCCCTTTACTTTCAGCCTTTGTGTGCCCTTTAAAGCTAAAGTGAGTTTCTTGTAGGTAGTGTATAGTTGGATCTTATTGTTTTTAAATTCATTCAGCCATTCTACGTCTTTTGATTGGGTAAAGTAACCCATTTATACTTAAAGTATACTGTTTCCATTTTGTTAATTGTTTTCTTACTATTTTGTAGTTTCTTTGTCCTGTTACTCCTCTCTTGCTGGTCTTCCTTTCTGATTTGATAATTTTTTTTGTGATGGTATGCTTTGAGTTATTTCTCTTTATGTTTTGTGTTTCTACTACAGGCTTTTTCCTTTGTGCTTACCATAAAGCTTACATAAAACATCTTATAGTTACAACAATCTATTTTAAACTCATAACAACTTAACTTCAACTACATATAAAAAATCTACATGTTAACTTTTCCTCCTTCCACATTTTATGTTACCGAGGTCACAATTTACATCTTTTTATATAGTGTATTCATTAACAAACTATTGTAGCTGTATTTTTTTTGTGACTGTCTTTTAACTTTTATACTAGTCTTAGAAGGGATTTATATATCACCATTACCATATCAGAGTATTATGAATTTGAGTATATTCTTATCTTTACAGTGAGTATTATATTTTTATATGCTTTTGTGTTGTTAGCATCCTTTTGTTTCAACTTTAAGAACCCTTTTTAACATTTCTCATAAAGCAGGTCTAGTGTTAACAAACTACATCAGCTTTTGTTTGTCTGAGAAAGTCCTTATCTCTCCTTTGTTTCTGAAGGCCAGCTTTACTGGGCATAGTATTATTTTTTTTCTTTCACTATTTTAATATACATTATTCCAATTTCTCCTGGATGCAAGGTTTCAGCTGCAAAATCCACTGATAATCTTATGAGGGCTTTCCTTTTATGTGATGAGTCACTTTTCTCTTGCTGCTTTCAAAATTCTTTGTCTATTTTGAGAATTTGATTATATAATATGTCTTGGCAAAAACTATTTTATGTTTAATTTATTTAGGGTTCTTTGGGCTTCACGGATCTGTATGTTTATTTCCCTCTTTAGATTTGAAAAGTTTTATATTCATTAGAGAAGTTCCTTTCTCTGCTCCTTCTGGAACTTCTATAATGAGTATATTGCTTTGCATAGTAGTGTACTATATTTCTATATTATTTCTTCAATTTTTAAGTTTTTTCCTTATTATTTCTCTGACCGAGTACTTTCGAGTGACTTATCATTGAGTTCATTGATTCTTCCTTCTTATTGGTTGAGTCTGAAGTTGAAGCTCTATGTGGAATTTTTAAGTTCATCCATTGTGTTCTTCAGCTCCAGAATTTCTATTTTTTTTAATGGTTCCTATATTTTTGTTGAATTTTTAATTTTGTTTATGTATTGTTTTTCTGGCTTCATGTAGTTGTCTACCTGTATTATAGCTCACTGAACTTTTTTGAGATGATTATTTTGAATTATTTGTTAGGCAGTTCATACATCTTTATTTTTTTAGGGTTGGTTACTGGTGCTTAATTTTGTTCCTTTGATAGCGTCATGTTTCTCTGATTAATTGTGGTCCTTATAGCCTCGTAATGATGTCTGTACATTTGAAAAAGAGCCAGCTTTTTCATTCTTGACAGATTGCTTTTGGCAGGGAAAGCCCTTCACCAGTCAGCACATCCAGAGATTCTGGGTGGTTCAGCTAGCAGGGTTCATGGGTGAACTTGCTGCTGAAGTCCTTGTACATGTTGGTCTGGTGCCTAGGTCCACAGGGTCTGATCTGTTACCTGAGTCTGTGGGGTTGTGTCTAGAGCTTGGGTCCATGGGTATAGGCCTGGGTTCTGGGTCCATGAGGTCTGGTACGGCACTGGGGACTCTTGAGGTGGGCCTGATGACTGGATCCATGGGGACAGGCCTGGAACCTGAGTCTGTGTGGGTGGCCCTGGGAGCTGGGGCCATGAGGGCCAGCCTGGCATTGGGGTTGGCCTGGGGCCTGGCTGGGGCTATAGGGACCAGCCAGGTGTTGAAGTGAGTTTGGATCCTGGGCTGCAGTGGGTGGCCTGGTGCTGAGATGGGTCTGGAGCCTGGAGCCGTGGATACTGACTTCATGCTGGGGTTCACTGTGGTGGGCCTGGTGCTGAGTCCATGAAAACAGGCCCAGAGCCTGAGTCTATAGTGACCAGCGTGGAGCCTAGGGCAGCCATAAATGGCCTGGTTCTGGGGAAGGCCTGGAGCCTATGTTCATAAGAGCTATGGAGGTTGGAGCCATTGGGTCTTAGAGCCGTAAGGGGACAGCCTGGAGCTTGGGTTTACAGGGACTGTCCTGTAGCCTGTGGCTATAGGAACCTGCCTGGTGTTGAGTTCACTGAATCGTGCCTGGCATTGGAGTCCATGAAGTCAGGTGTTAACTTTACTCTCCTTCCCCCACATATATAGTATCTCTTTCCATGTTGCACTGCCCAGGTTTTGGGGCAGGGTAATGCAGATAATATGAAACTGTCTTTTCTACTCTCTTTAATGCACCTTTTCTTATTTCTCTGCTCCACAAAGGTGCTATAACCTCTCAGCTGGATTCCTTGTCTCTTATGAAGATATTTTCATGCACAGATGGCTGTTCAAATTGATGTTTCTGTGAAGGGATAAGTGCTGAAAACTTCTGTTTTGCCATTTTGCTCATGTCATTCTCCTCCGTTAACTTAAAAATATTTTTTGCTGCACTTTCTTGAATAACATATTGTTGAAAATTATCAGACCCTTGGCTTGGTTGTTGAAGTTCCTCCTTTAGAGCAAGTTCCTCTTATAGTTCTCTGTAGACACACTATAGTTGTAAAATGTTTGTAGAGATAATATTTTGTGTGTAGAATTAAGGACAAATTACACACAAATGTTTAGTGGGCAGTATTAGTAAGAAGATCTATTGCATTAGAAAAGGGAGAAGTATCAAGTTTATTTAGGAGAAATAAAATGAGTTGAGAAAATTTAAGGGAAAATGTGTAGTTCAATGAGACCTTGTGGAGAAAAACATGGAAGAAAGACATGGAAGAATATTTACATTCTTGGAACAACAGGAGTGAGGAAAGACAAGAGCACAGTTGGAGTTGTACCAGGTCAAGCAGAAGTTCCGTCGGAGCCTGAACTGAAAATGCACCGTTCCTAGTTACCTCGATAACAGCCCCACTTTCTGTTAATAATACTCTAATGAGAAAAATCTTGCAAAAATAGTCAGAAAAGGCAGAGTCACATATGGTTCAATGTGCTCCACCTTAGTAGAAAGTCTCAGGAGGAGTTTGGGAAGGATGGTGCTGCAGGCAATGGATGAGATAATGATGATAAAATTTTCAGCTCTGTATAAAAGGGCAAGCGAAATACATGCTTGTGAATTTCTGGGTGCTTTGCCATGTTGTATTTCCTGATAAATTTTATCCCAGTTAATATGAAGAATAAACTCTGATTATTATGGTTATCACTTGCTGGGTGTCTATTATTTTTCAGAAACTGTATCAGGAACTTTATATAAATCATTTAATTACACATTTCCAAACTGCACATGAATTAGTTATTATTATGATCATTTTATAGATGAAGAAAATGAGACTCAGAGCAATTAATAAGTTGCCCAAGGTCAGATAGCAAGTAAGTACCAGAAATAAAGTCCAGATTAATCTAATTCCCATACCCTTGCTCTTTCAATTATGTTTCAGGGTTGATCACAAAAAGAACCACTCTGTATGCTTAGGATGATTTACTACCTACTAAATTTAACCATGGGGCAATCTAATAAACTGGGTAGAATATATGGTTAAGATAAAATTTGAGAAGAAAAGATTAAATTAAAATAGTTGGTACATAACCAATGATCAGAATATTCTGTCAGTATTCTAGAAACTTATGTAAGAATAAACTGGATGCTGACAAAATTTTATTATATTAAAAAATTCACATTCTTCATACACAAATCTTGTAAATAACCACTATTAAAGAAAGGATATTTACCTAGAAAAATCTGGGGTGGTCAACCAGTATATAACCATTCCTGGGGTGAATGTCCTTTTCATCTTAGGCCTCTGGCCAATTTATCCAAGGGGTAGATATCTGACTTCAAAATATTCTGTTTTATAGGCAATTACAACTTGCAAGGGAATACACAGAGGTCACAGGGTAGTAGAGTTGAGTTATATTAACAGCAATTCTTTGGAGAGAAAAAAACCACCTTACACTACCATGCTCAATGGCAAAGATTAACAGAAGGTACAGCAACATTATATAAGTTGAAACACTAAGGGCCTAGACCAGTTAGGGATACATTATTGGGTAACTTCACTGGGCAAATAATTCTGAGTAACTGAGTTGCTGGCTAATGGTAAGAATAACATGGAAGTCATAAATACTAGCTAGAGCCTTGCTGTAGTCTGAATGTTTGTGTGCCTCCAAATTCATATGCTGAAACCGAATCACCAATATGATGGTCTTAGCAGGTGGGGCCTTTGGGGGGTGCTTAGGTCATGCAGTCAGGGCCCTCAAGAGCGGGATTAATGCTCTCACAAAAAAAAAGACCCCAGAGAGTTAACTTGTTCCTTCCACCACATGAGGACAGTGAGAAGGTACTATCTATGAACCAGAAAGCAGATCCTGTCCAGACACCGAATCTGATGGCACCATGAGCTTGTACTTCCCAGTCTCCAGAACCATGAGAAATAAATTTCTACTGTTTATAAGCTATCGAGTTTATGGCATTTTGTTGTAGCAACCTGAATGGACTACAATAAACCTCATGACCAGTTTCAGCAGCAAATAAAAAAATCTGCACTTGCATTTCTTTGCATACTAAACCTATACTAGGTCAATATTTATATTAGTATTGATTCCCTAACCTTTCTCCCCTTCACAGGCTGTGTAGTTGCAGAATGCCCAGATGAAATTATTACACATATATAATACAAATGGATATCACCCAGGGAGCCTGATTTCAAAAAAAAATGTGGTATCATGACATCGTACCTTGTTTAATAGCTGGGCATGAATTTAGGTCATTTCCCATTTTAGAAGAAGACAAGAGTGTTAGTTATTATGTATGGATTAATTACTTTTAGTTGAATTGAGGCATTTGTGGATAGATGGAGAAAAATATATATATTGAGTATAGAGAAGTGAGAGAGAAAGAAGAGAGAGAGAGAGTGTGTGTGTGGGTCTGTGTGTACGTTCGTGTGTGTGTACACAACCACCACAATCAACAGGTGGAATGTAGGAGACACAAACTGCGATGGTTGCTCAGCTCCATGTAGTTACCCCAAGGATAAGCCTATGTATTCTACTCTGTCCCCTGGACATAGCTATATGCTCTCAAAATACAGATATCTGACCCAAGTTTGTTCAGTTAGATTAATTCTTCTAATAATTGGAAAACCTGAATTGAGATACATAGAAACAGAGAGTGTCAGAGTTGCACGACGCTAGGCAATGCTATAGAAAGCATGTTTCCATTCCCCAGCTTCTGGAGGTCTTGGAACTTCTGTGTTTCAGTTCTTCCCATAGCTTAATTGTTCAGTCCTTCCTTTATTCCATGCATTCTCCAAAATCTTTGTAATACGTCCTTTGCTTCAGGTTTCTAAGAATGGGAAAAATAAGGCAGATAATCTAATTTTAAAATTAAGCAGAACAGAGATGGCTAATAAAAATGTATATATTTGTTTAGGGGCTGTGTTCACATATCACAGAAATAAGAGGGACGTATACTCTGGTTATATTTCAGATGCAACTAATCTGATATCAGCCTTCTGAAACTGATTCTTTCTTTATCTTCCACATCGCTCATGAACTTCCTTCTCTGAAAACCAGTTATTTAACTTGATTCTTCTTTATATAATTAAATATTGATTTTGGCTATAACTAAAATAAAAATATAATAGAAAGTGTTACACAAATAGGGAATTCATTTTTTTTTTTTTTAATGAGACAAGAGATACAGAGGTAGCTCTCAGGAGGCAGCTCACTGATACCATTGAAACCCAAGCATTTTCTTTCTTTCTGCTTCAGTGTCCCAAGCATGTGGGCTTTCTTTCTCATGGTTGTAAAATGGCTGTTGGAACTCTAGGCATCAAGCCAGCATGACAGACAGAAGGATAAAACAGAAGAGGTGGCACCAACAGCTTTCTGTGGATGTCACAATGACTATAACTGTTGTATGGTCACCTCTGGCTATAAGGAAGGCTGGAAAATCAATTTTTTTTAAAGTAGGAAAAACAAGAAGCAATAGGGTTGACATACGTGCTGAGTGAATCAACTAACACTATCTTCCATAGCTTCTAGAATAATCAATCTTAATGAATTTTCTTAGGTATGATGATATTTAGAAATAAAAGTGAAAAAAAGCTCCTTAGTACAGTTTGCTGGTTTCCTGGACAGAAGTACAACTTTATGCTGAAGTCTACGTTCACTCATACCTGTTGCTAATAGACTTATGTTCCTAAATCTGTATCACTTATCCACTCAGCATGTGTGTGCATGTGCCTGTGTGTGTATTCCATTTTTTTATTTTTATTTTTTAAATTGAGACAGAGTCTCACTCTGTCACCCAGGCTGGAGTGCAGTGCTGCAATCTCGGCTCACCGCAACCTCTGACTCCTGGGATCAAGCGATTCTCCCACCTCAACCTCCTGAGTAGCTGGGACTACAGGTGTGCGCCACCACGCCTGGCTAATTTTTCTATTTTTATTAGAGATGGGGTTTCCCCATGTTGGCCAGGCTGGTCTCAAACGACTGCCCTCAGGTGATCCGCCTGCCTTGGCCTCCCAAAGTGCTGGGACTACAGGCACGAGCCATCGTGGCCTGGCCCTGTAATTCCATTTTTTAATGAGCAAAATATGTACATCAAAAAGAATCAAGATACACAAAAGTTTTTCTCTCATCCTTGTTCTCTACTCATTCATTAACCTGTCTCAATGCCATCAGTGTTTTCAACTTATTGGGTATTCTTCCAGAGAGAGCTTATATATTCATAGGAATTGTGCAGTCCTCTCTTAAAACCACTGGTTCCATATTTGCACATTTCACAAGCAAGTGACTATGCCAATGTCTTTACCAAGGGAAGAAAAAGTGTTGGATCTTCATTCAACTATTATGTGCCAGCTGCCTCTATACATCCTATCCCATTTAACCTTCATAATGCCTTGCTGAAGTTGATACCTGCATGTTCAGCATGGTAATCTGAGGTTCAGAATATGTCTCAGTCCATTTATATTGCTGTAAAAAAATATCTTAGACCGAGTAACTTATAAAGAGTAGAAACCTATTTTTCACAGTTCAGGAGGCTAGAAGTCCAAGATCAAGGCACTAGCAGATTTGGTGTCTGGTGAAGGCTGGCTCTCTGCTTCACAGATTTTACCTCTTGCTGTGTCCTCACATGGTGTAAGGATGGAAGGCGCAAACTCACTCCCTCAAGCCCTTTTATAAGGACACTAATCCCATGTATGAGGGTGGAACCCTTACAGTGCAATCACTTTCCAAAGGCCCTATATCTTAATACCACCACCTTGAGGTTTAAGTTCTACCGTGAGTTTTGGAGGGACACAAACATTCAAACCATAGCAGGGTAGTTAGATGACACATATTAGGCCAAAGAGCTAATCAAGATTTGAAAGTGGAATTTAAATCTGTGTGCTTTGGTTTGCCTGCCTCTGAAATATCTTTTTTTTTTTTTTTTTTTTAAAGAAAATGATGTTTATTTGGAAATAGAGCATTGCAATGGAAATACACACGCCATAGTAAACTATGTGTGTATTCGGAGAGATAAAAGAAGACACAGGTGTTTTTGTTTGTTTGTTTGTTTTTTGAGATGGAGTCTGTCTTTGCACTGTCACCCGGGCTGGTGTGCAATGGTGCAGTCTCGGCTCAATGCTACCTCCACCTCCCAGGTTCAAGTGATTCTCCTGCCTCAGCCTCCCAAGTAGCCAGGATTACAGGCACCCACCACCACACCTGGCTATTTTTTTTTTTTTAATTTTTAGTAGAGATGGGGTTTCACTATGTTGGCCAGGATGGTCTTGAATTCCTGACCTCATTATCGGCCCACCTTGGCCTCCCAAAGTGCTGGGATTACAAGAAGACACAGGTTTTTTAAAGGAAAAAATGAGGACGATTACGTAGTTGTTTTAAAAGAAATAGCCTTGGCTACATAGATCAGTGGCAAGGGTTATGGCAATCTGAAGTTGGACAGGCGGTTGCTGGGCAGATAAAGCATCTATTTGTTGAGATCCTCTATTCGTGTGTATCTGAGCCCTTGAAGCATCAGGTTTCTGCTGGACGATTGGCTCTCTCTGCCACAGTGGACTACACAGGTCTTCCTCCTCTGCTACTCTGTCTTCTAGCTGATTCTTTAACAAAGTATGCTCAAGGTTGTGAAAGCTTGGCCTCTTTCCTTGTGGCACTTAGAGCCATGATTTGAAGTGAGTTGATGGTCAATAAATGTCCATTAATTAAATTACTTGGCACTCCCTCTGACCTCAGCCTAGAGCCCTTGCTATTGCTTCCTCTGCTCCTAAAACTCCTGCAGCTTTGCTCAATTGTTTTTCTTTTAGGATTTCTCCTTTTACCATACTTATCTCTCTAGAGACTTGTTTCTCGATGTGTGGACCTTGGACCAACAGCATCAACATCACCTAGGAGCTTATTAGAAATCCCAGCACTTTGAGAGGCCAAGGTGGGTGGATCATGAGGTCAGGAGATCGAGACCATCCTGGCTAACACAGTGAAACCCCGTCTCTACTAAAAATACAAAAAATTAGCCGGGCATTGTGGCGGGCGCCTGTAGTCCCACCTACTCAGGAGGCTGAGGCAGGAGAATGGCATGAACCCGGGAGGTGGAGCTTGCAGTGAGCCGAGATCGCTCCACTGCACTCCAGCCTGGGTGACAGAACGAGACTCCTTCTCAAAAAAAAAAAAAAAAAAAAGAAATACAGATTCTCAGACCCCACCCTAGACCTACCAGATGAGAATCTATTTTCACAACATCATCTGGTGGTTACTATGCATATTAATGTTTGAGAAACACTATTCTAGATATGCCTACAGGTGAAGTCGAGTCAGCTGCCTGAGGTCACATTTGAAATGGTTTTATAAGTACTTACAAAATACACAGAATTTCTCCTATGCTCCTGAAAAGCCTAGAAAACTTACTATATGTTCATTAAGAAAAAATTTGCTGACCTCTGCTGTAGAATCTATGCCTTACTGTACTTGAATTTGGGATGGATATTTAATCTTGCTTTTACCCATGTACCATGGGCACGGAGTTGAGTGCTGATTCTGCCATGCTTCTTCTTCTGTGCACTTACCGTGTTTTGTACATTCACATTCATGACTTCACACTATGATTTACATTTTGTTTGTATGTTTGCAGGTATGGTTCTCTACTAGGCAGAAAGCTTCTTGAAGACAGATGAGGCCAGGCTCCCTAGAAGCAGAGCCTGGAATGAGGATTCTTGTTGAGTGAGTCATTGAAGGAGTGCTCTCAGGGAGAACCTGGAAGGGAAGGAGGAAAGCGGGACAGGCTAGAGGAAGAAGCTAAGCAAAGATGTTGTGGCTGCACTGGAGTCTAACTTCACTGTGATTTCTTGGGGTGCTCTGAAATGTAAATAACACTGTAGACTTGCCCCACCTTAAGGCAAGGGGCTGAGCTTTTTGTGCCACATATGTCATTGGCCTGGGCTGGCTGTGGAGGAAGGCATGACCTCACAGGCTTTTCTGGATGAGGCTGCTTCCCTTCGCTGAAGCCACCTGTGAGCCTTTGGCAGCCACTATTCAAGCAGCTGGGGTGGGGAAGAGTCAGTTCCGTTGTGGCTTTTTATTTTAATCTCTGTATCCTTGGTTTCTGGCACTCAGTAAGCATGCAGTAAATCTTTGCTACGTGAGTGAGTCTCTTCCTAATATAATACTTAGTCACCTGTTAATTAAAATAGACAGTACCCATTATCTTTGTTTATGTTCATGCAATTAATAAAGCAAATATTCTTCTGACTAGTTAGTTTAACAAGACTAAATGAGATCATCCAGATGAAGGTACCTAGCAAACTACCTGACATATAATAGGCAACAATAAATGTTAATTTCCCCTTAAGCTTAAATAGGCTATATATATTTTGTTAGGAAGAGTGTTTCCTGTTTATGGCTTGTAACACATTTTAATGAATCAAGAGAGATTTCTGCTATTACCTGTATAATCTCTACTTGAGGTAGAGATCTCTGCTTGAGGTAGAGACCTCAGCTGTGAAGAGGTATAATGATGGTATAATCTGAGCTGTTGTACAAACAGTGATATTAGAAAGTGAAGGAAGTATCAGAGAAAATATGATTAGCTGTTAAAATCATCTACACAAAAATAATGATTGCTGCCAGGTATTTAGTGCTTATTACAGGATAGGCACTGTCCTAGGAGCTTTATGTACTTTATTACCAGGCCCCCAAACTACCCTATAAAGTGGATGCTATAAGAGGTTGGTACACAATAGGTAGACAAAGTATGTAATTAAGATAATAGCAAAACAAGGGCACCAATATGTATATTTTTTTGATATTTAAAAATTAGCATTAAAATAGTAGTTCTGTTAAAAATCAGAATTTTATGGATTTTTTACATTTATTATTATTTTTTAAAACTTGAATTACATAGGGGATTACTACCACCTTTCTAGTGCAGAGGATTTCTGTAAGTCTTAATTTCATTTCCTCTTATCCCTGTGTATTAATTAACCCAGTTTCAGAACTGAGGAAACTGCAACTCAGAAAGGTCAGATAGCCACTGGCTCCATGAAGAGTCAGGAAGCTGGTGACAAAGAAATCGGAGGGCTGGAGGGTAAAAGCAGGCGAAGGTGATACTCAGAGGAGAAGGACACTGGAGAAGTCAGTCCTGAACCCACCAATGAGGTACCGCTGCAGCTATGTCTGGAATTGGCTCAGGCTGCCAATTCCAGAAATCCGGAATGAGCCAGATGAAACCGCTTTAGCAATCTCCAGCAACTACCCTTCTGTCAGAGTCAGAAGCAGAAATCTCTTTTTCCAGTCTTCTTATCTCTTGCCAGTGCCTCCTGTTGATAGAATCGACCGGGAAGTAAGCAGGCGGGAGAGTCTCAGAAATGGAGTTTGCACATACCCAGCCTCGTAGAGGAGAATAGAGAAGCTGGGTATGGGTTAGAGAGATGATATGTAAATAACCAGAACACCTATACAGCTGGAATGTGGTTTGGCCAGGCTATTTCTTTGTAGAACTAATATATTTTATGACAAAACTGTACTATTGAGCTAATCTATGTACTTTACTTGAAAATTCATGTTTGAGTTAATTTACTTTACTTGAAAATTCATGTTTCTTAGGATTGAAAACTGGTTCATTTGTCCTCTGATTTTGGCTTTTTATTCAGCTTTGAATATGATCTTTCAAAACAGAGAAGAAATTTTCTCATATAGGTGACTTTATTAATATTGGCATTGGTGCTCATGGGTTGAAATCTCAGCATTTTGGAACCCTGCTGGGATGTTCTGCTGCTACTCATTATGACATTTTCTCATCCCCCAGAGATAGCCTGTTTGAAACTGAAATAGCAATTTGTATTCCTACTTGCAATATCCCAGTTATTTGGTAGCAATTCTTAAAGTGTGTCTAGAGCCAACTGGCACTGAATTTTTCCATTACTGATACCCTTTTACTCATGATAATTTATGGAACACCACTAAATTAGGTAGTGGGAATACTAGAATAGATAAGATAAAATTCCTGTTAATGGGAAGCTCATACCATAATATTTTACCCACGCTGAGATAGTTTTAGTTCCCTAGCAAACACTTTTCTCATAGAGAAAAATGTAAACTTAGGTTACACAGTTTCTTTTCTTTTTAAAGATACCTATTCTCCATTTTAATCTAAGGAATTCAATACAGAGGAGGGACATTAAAGATGGTAAATTTTGTATCCTAGTATATTCCTGCGATGCTCACTAGTTTAGCTGGATAGTCTTGTTTTATAACATTGGTCCTCTATCTCTTGCTGGAGTAATAATGGCTGAGAAGTAACTGTTGTCTCATAAAGAAGGACATACAGGAATACTGTGACCTGGCCTCATTTTGTTTTTGCTGGCACACAAAGATTATGAGTGTGACAAACAGAAAATTATAAGGGAGAGTGACTCCTTAGCTCCAGATCATAGAATATTCTCCAGCAAGAAAGTATTGGACATGACCAACTGTGAGGCACTTTTCTCTATTTTACACGCTTATTTAAAAAATAATGCTACCCATTACCTACAAAATCAACCAAGAATCCATGGCATGACATTCAAGGCCATTAAACAAAATTCCTGTTAATGCGAACCTCATACCCTAATATTTTACCCAAGCTGAGATCGTTTCTATTAGTTCCCTAGGAAGTCACGTTCTTCCTCCGATCTTTTCTACCATTAACAACTGATTCCTATGACCAAGCTCCAGCTTTGAGCAGTTTGTTAAGCAAAACAACCCTTTTTAATGAAAACAAAACATTATACAGAACATCAAAGTATAACATAAATGCAGAATTGGTCCGGTTAAGAACGATGGAGGATCCAGAATTCAAATGCCTTGTCTTGTTTGTGCTTTGGCCACACAGGCACTTATTCCAAATTCCAGACTGTTCTGGCTAGTCTCAATGTTTCATTTTTGTCTATTTCTTTGACTTTGTCTATGGATTTTTGTTGTTGTTGCTTGGAATGATCTTCTCTAGCATCTTGTGTGCAAATGCTTCTCCAATGTAAATTCCATGTCTTCCAGGAAGCTCTTTATAATTTGCTCCACTTGAAGCCAAGCTAGACCTCCTCTGTGTTTCCAGTGGTAGTATTCAGGGAAGGTTGTTGTACTGCGTTGTGAACCATCTTGAAGTCAGGGACTTCCTGTCTACCTCTGTACCATCATGTTTTGGACACCATATTAGGTACACAAGGATTTTACTACTTTTTCAAAGAGAGCAACATTTACCCTGATGTAGGTTTTTGGCAATTCTCTCTGGATACAGGTGAAGATTTTCCAAATTTATTTTGGTATTTCTACCACATGGTGTTATTTTTATTTCCCCTTGAGGCTCCACTCAAATGCCACATCACAAATAAAATCTTTCTTGAATCTTCCCAGATGAAAGTAATGTCAACTTCCTCTGAATGCTTTAAAACACACTTTCTGTCCCTCTCTGCATTTTCTAGCTTCTGTTATACAGCCATATACATGTCTTATATTCCACCCAATATTGCAAGTTACTTAAGAAAAGGTCTATGTTAAGGAACTGTAAGAGTATCTAATCTACAGTGAAGTCAAACATGGTTTCCAACCCAGGCTTCAAATCTGGGTGGCACTGATCAAAAGACTTGACCTCTCTTTGAATCTCAGTCTCCTCACTGTGAAATGAGGCTAACAATGTCTCCTTCAGAGATTTTTTTGGAGAAGATTAAATTCAACAAGATTAAAATATCTTACCTTGAGCATTCAAAATATAGATTCCATCTCCTAGATTAATTTTGAGACTTTCCTGGAAACTAGTATCATCCCTTGTATGA
The DNA here is from genome assembly GCF_000001405.40 of Homo sapiens. Lineage (NCBI taxonomy): Eukaryota > Metazoa > Chordata > Mammalia > Primates > Hominidae > Homo > Homo sapiens. The sequence goes on from NC_000015.10 coordinate 91,411,493, forward strand.
AGTATATGCTCAATTAATGTTTATTTGCATGTTGAACTGAATTAGGCCAGAGGAATTACTATTCTAGTATATATTAATGAAAGTTATGTGGAAAAAAATGGTTCTGTTGATAAGTTTGGGAAGTGTTGAATTTTATCTGAATAATTTTTTTAAGGATTTAAACATTTGTTTGGTTTTCTAAAGTGAATTATTTGACTCTTTCTTCACAGAGAATCTCACAGGGTGAGTGCCCTTTGCAACAGAGGTTGGGTAATACACAAACAAGGTACTGGCCTTAAAGGAAGTGGAAGGATAGCTTGTGTCTTTTCTATGATAGGAAGGCTGGCAGGCTGTACAGACTCCAAAGGTTGGTATTACCAAGGTAGATTCACCATGGCCCACAGTCTAATCTTATAGGCTCTTAAAGTTGGCTTGTCTTCCAAATGTGGGTTGGAAGCCCATAGAGTCCTCTTGTATAATAGCACTCATCCCAACCATGTTAAAGAAGTTACTGTACCTAGATGGCTTAGAAGAGTGCCTGGCACTGAAGATTTACATACCCCTTTAACATGCACATTTTGTTCTCTCATTCACTAGATAGTGCATTTTCTTTACTTTTTTTGTGCATTAGGAAATGGAAATTCAATTCAATTCAACATGCAAATAAATATTAATTGAGCATATACTTCATACAAGGAACTATACTAGGTTCTAGGGAAGTCTCAAAACTAATCTGGGGAATGGGAAATTGAGTTTCAATTTCCCAGTGTGGGTTCCTTCTGTGGATTGACTCACATTAACCAAGTTTAGAGACTGGTAAATAAACATCAATGTGAATTTGTTAATTTGCCATGAGCACTCTTATTTCCAGTAGAATACACAGATGAACTGGCCTGATTACATAATTTCCCCACCCATCCCCACAATGGGCTGATGCACAGAAAAGTCAAATCATAAGTAGAAGGCTTTGTGATAAGTCCAAATTAGAAAAAATAGGAAATTACTTGATTGATTTTGGGAAGTGTCCCTCAGCTAAGCCCTCCATCCTTTCTTCCTTTCTTCTCTTTTCTTCTTCTATCCATCCAACAAATACTTCTGGAAAACCAGCTACATGAGGCAGTACAGCAGAGAGATCTGGGAAAGACTACCTATTTTTCAAATGGCAAATGATCTGTTTGCTCCCACGTGACCTCAAGGAAGTTATATAACGTCTTAGTGTTGCAGAACCCTCTTGTGTAATAGCACTCGTCTCAACCAGGTTAAAGAAGTTACTGTATGCAGATGACTTAGAAGAGTGCCTGGCACTGATGATTTACATATCTCTTTAATGAACACATTTCATTTTCTGATTCACTAGGTTGTGCATTTTTCTTACTTTTTTAATGCATTGCAAAGTTGAGTTTCAAAATGATTAATTACTTTGCCCTAGGTCGTACGCAGTTGGTAAGTGGCTGAGCTTGAACAGGACCAAAAAAGTAAATACACTGTTTATTTTAGAAAATCATGGATTTTGGCACTGTAGGGGAAAAAAAATAAAACATAATAGTTATGCAGACTCTCATTTCTCTTTAAAAAATTCTAAGCCTTAAGAGATACAGGGTGGACCCTAATTTCTTTCTATATCATCAACTTTTGATTGATTTTGTCATTTTCCATATTTATGTCCTGTAGTTTGGAACTTCCTCAAATGATACCATAACAAATGAGATCAATTTTCTTCTGAAGTGTGTTTTTAAAAGACATTACAGTCATCCCAGACTCACGTTCTTAGCTATGAAACAGTGTATTTGGCAGTTTCCATTGCTTCTGGTTGTGATCAGACTGAATTTCAGACAGTCATCTTTAAGCTATGCCCTAACTAAGATGAATAGATATTGTCAGATGGCCTGTTTAATCACTTCGCCATCTGGCATAATTATGTTTATGAGTAGGACCTGCTTTTGCTTGGTTTGGGCAATAGCTAAAACCAACAGAACAAGGCAATCACATCTCCTAAGTTAAGACCAGGGCCCACTCTTCATCTTTAATCTTAGCTGGGCAATCACATTTTCAAACCTGCAGAATAAGCTTAGTGTGTACTTGTACTGCAGGACCCCATTAGGCTCATGGCGTCCGTCTGTCCATCTATTCATGCTTACTTTCATTAATTCCATTCCAGTAATCACTCCCTGAACCCTTCATGTGTGCTGGGCTCTCTGTGTCCCAGGTCAGACTATCATGAAAAAGACAGCATTCCTCATCTCAAGAAGCTCTTGGTGTAATGGAAAAAGTCTCAAAAGCATATGGATCTTAAACATGAAGCTTAATGCTATTTATTTATTATTTTAAAATTTTTATTTTTAATTTTTGTGGGTACATAGTAAGTGTATATGTTTAGGGGGTACATGAGGTATTTTGATACAGGCATACAATGTGTAATAATCACATAAGGGTAAATGGGGTATCCATTGCCTCAAGCATTTATCCTTTCTTTGTGTTACAAACAATCCAATTATACAATTTTAGTTATTTCAAAATATACAATAAATTATTGTTGACTGTAGTCACCTGTTGTGTTACAAAATACTGTATCTTCTTCATTATAGCTAATTATATTTATGTACACATTAAATATCTCCACTTCCCCCAACCCCACAACCCTTTCTAGCCTCTAGTTACCATCATTCTACCCTCTATCTCCATGAGTTCAATTGTTTTAATTTCTAGCTTCCACAAATAATTAAGAAAAGGCAAAGTCTTTCTGTCCCTGCCTTATTTCACTTAACACAGTGACCTCCAGTTCCATCTATGTTATTGCAAATGACAGGCTTTCATTCTTTTTTATGGCTGAATACTACTCTGTTTTGTATACGTACCACACTTTCTTTATTCATTCATCTGTTGATGGACACTTAAGTTAATTCCAAATCTTGGTTATTGTGAATAGTTGCTGTAATAAACATGGGACTGCAGATATATCTTCAATATACTGATTTCCTTTCTTTTGGGTATATACCTAGCAGTGGATTGCTGGATCACAACGGTAGATCTATTTTTAGTTTTTTGAGGAGCCTCCAAACTGTTCTCTGTAGTGGTTGTACTAGTTTACATTCCCACCAACAGTTTATCCAGGTTCCCTTTTCTTCCCATTTTCACCAGCATTTGTTATTGCTTGTCTTTTGGATAAAAACCATTTTAACTGGGGTGAGATGATATCTCATTGTAGTTTTGACTTGCATTTCTATGATAGTCAGTGTTACTGAGCACCTTTTGATATGACTGCTTGTATGTCTTTTCTTGAGATATGGCTATTGAGGTTTTTTGCCCATTTTAAAATTGGATTATTAGATTTTTTTCCTATTGAGTTGTTTGAGCTCCTTATATATACTGGTTATTAATTCTTTGTCAGATGGAGAGTTTGTGAATATTTTCTCCCATCTGTGAGTTGTCTCTTCACTTTGTCGACTGTATCCTTTGCTGTGCCAAGCTTTTTAAATTTGATATGATCTCATTTGTTCACTTCTGCTTTGGTTGCCTGTGCTTGTGAGGTATTACTCAAGAAATCTTTGCCTAGTCCAATGTCCTGGAGAGTTTTCCCAATGTTCTCTTGTAGTAGACTCATAGATTGAGGTCTTATATTTAAGTCTTTAATCCATTTTGATTTGATTTTTGTATGTGGCAAGAGATAGGGGTCTAGCTTCATTCTTCTGCATATGGAGATTCAGTTTCTCCAGCATCATTTATTGAAGAGACTGTCTTTTCCCAATATGTGTTCTTGGTACCTTTGTCAAAAATGAGTTCACTGTAAATGTATGGATATTTTTCTGGGTTCTCTATTCTATTCCATTGGTCTATGTGTCTGTTTTTATGCCAATACCATGCTATTTTGGTTGCTATAGCTCTGTAGTATAATTTGAAGTCAGGTAATGTGATTCCTCATCGTGTTCTTTTTCTTTTCTTTTCTTTCTTTCTTTTCTTTTATTTATTTATTTATTTATTTATTTATTTATTTATTTATTTATTTATTTTATGGAGTCTTGCTCTATCGCCCAGATTAGAGTGCAGTGGCACAATCTCGGCTCACTGCAACCTCCATCTTCCCAGTTCAAGTGATTCTCATGCCTCAGCCTCCTGAGTAGCTGGGATTACAGGCACCTGCTACCATGCCCGGCTAATTTTTTTTGTATTTTTAGTAGGGATGGGGTTTCACCATGTTGTCCAGGCTGGTCTGAAACTCCTGACCTCAAGTGATCCTCTCGTCTTGACCTCCCAAAGTGCTGGGATTACAAGTATGAGCCACCACCCCCAGCCTCCTCGTTGTATTCTTTTTGCTCAGGATAGCTTTGGTTATTCTGGGTCTTTTGTGGTTCCACATAAATGTTAAGATTTTTTTTCTATTCATGTTAAGAATGTATTTTGATAGGGACTGCATTGAATCTGTAGATTGCTTTGGGTAGTATAGACATTTTAACAATATTGATTCTTCTAATCCATGAATATAAAAATTTTTTTCCATTTTTGTGTTCTCTTTAATTTCTTTCATAAATATTTTGCAATTTTCCTGGTAGAGATCTTTTACTTTATTTAATTTTATTCATAGCTACTTGAGATTACTTTGATTTCTTTTTCAGATTATTTACTGCTGGCATATAAAAATGCTATTTTTTTGTATGTTAATTTTGTGTCCTACAACTTTACTGAATTTGTCAGTTCTAATAGTTATTTGATAGAGTCTTTAGGTTTTCCCAAATATAAGATTGTATTTTCTGCAAACAAGGATAATTTGACTTCTTCCTTTCCGATTTGGATGCCTTTTATTTCTTTTTCTTGTGTAATTTCTCTATCCAGGACTTCCAGTACTATGTTGAATAACAACGGTGACAGTGAGCATCCTTGTCTTGTTCCACATCTTCAAGAAAAGGCATTCAGTTTTTCCCCATTCAGTATGATACTGGCTGTGGGTCTGTTATATTGACTTTTATTGTGTTGAGGTATGTTCCTTCTGTATGCAGTTTTTGTGAGTTTTTATCATGAAGTGATGTTGAATTTTATCAAATGCTTTTTCAGCATCAATTGAAATGATCATAAGGTTTTTATCCTTCATTCTATTGATACGCTATATCACATTGATTGATTTGCATATGTTGAAATATTCTTGCATCCCGGGGATAAATCCTTCTTGGTCATGATGAATGATCTTTCTAATGTGTTTTTGAATTTGATTCGCTAGTATTTCATTCAGGATTTTTGCATCAATGTTCACTGGGATATTGGCCTGTTGTTTTCTTTTTTTGATGTGTCTTTGTCTGGTTTTGCTATCAGGGTCATACTGGCCTCATAAAATGAATTTAGAAGTATTCTCTCCTCCTCTATTTTTCAGAACAGTTTGAGTAGGGTTGGTATTAGTTCTTTTTTAAATGTTTGGTAAAATTCAGCAATGAAGCCTTCAGGTCCTGGGCTTTGCTGAGATCTCTTTGCTGAGATAATTTTTATTATGGCTTTGATTTCATTACTTGTTACTGGTCTGTTCAGGTTTTGGATTTCTTCATGGTTCAATCTTGGTAGGTCATATGTATCCAGGAATTTATTCATTTCTTCTAGGTTCTCTAATTTATTGGCATGTAATTGCTCATACTAGCCTCTAAAGATCCTTTGAATTTTTGTCATATTGATTGTAATGTCTCCTTTTTCATCTCTCATTGTATTTATTTGGGTCTTCTCTCTATTTTCTTAGTATGGTTAAAGGTTTATCAAATTTGTTTCTCCTTTCAAAAAATCAACTTTTTTTCATTAATCTTTTGTATTGTTTTCATTTCAATTTCATTTATTTCTGCTTTGTATTTATAATCTCTCTTCTTGTACTAATTTTGGGCTCGATTTGCTCTTGCTTTTCTAGTTCTTTAAGATGCATAGTTAGGTTTTTTGTTTGAAAATTTTCTAATTTTTTGATGTAGGTGCTTATAGCTATAAACTTTCCTCTTAGTAAAGTATACAGCTTGTGCTGTACTCCATAGAATTTGGTATGTTTTGTTTCTATTATGACATGTTTCAAGAAAATTTTTAAATGTCCTTAATTTCCATGTTCTCAGTGTTCATTTAGGAGCGTATGAATTTCCATGTGTTTGTATTATTTCCAAAATTCCTGTTGTTACAGATTTCTAGTTTTATTCCACTGTGGTTAGAGAAGACATTTGATATAATTTCATTTTTTTATTTTTAAAAAACATATTTTGTGGCCTAACATATCTTCTCTCCTTGAGAATAATCTATATGCTGAGGAGAAGAGTTTATATTCTGTAGCCATTGGATAAAATGTTTGCTAAATATCTGTTAGGTCCATTTGATCTATAGCGTAGATTAAGTTTGATGTTTCTTTGTTGATTTTCTGTCTGGATGATCTAATCAGTGCTGAAAATGAGTTGTTGAACTCTCCAGCTGTTATTGTTTTGGGGTATATATCTCTCTTTAGCTCTAGTAATATTTGCTTTATATATATGGTGCTCCAGTGTTGGGTGCATATATATTTACAATTATTATATCCTCTTGCTGAATTGACCACATTATTATATAACGACCTTCTTTGTCTCTTCTTACAGTTTTTGTCTTGAAATCTATTTTGTCTAATGTAAGTATAGATGCTTGTGCTCCTTTTGGTTTCCATTTGCATGGAATGTCTTTTTCTATCCTCTATTTTCAGGCTATGTGTGTCCTTATAGGTGAAGTGTGTTTCTTGGTTTCTTGTAGAAAACAGACTGCTGGGTCTTGTGTGTTTTTTTTTTTTTTCTTTTTTTTTTTTTTTTAAATCCATTCAGCCACTCTATGTCTTTTAATTAAAGAGTTTAGTTCATTTATTTATATGTTTATTTCTTTTTCCTTTTTTCCCCTCAAGTTCCAGCAGAATGAAAATTTAGTCCATTTACATTCAGTTAGTATTGATAAGTAAGGACTTACTCCTGCCATTTTGTTGTTTCTTTTCTACTTGTTTTGTGGTCTTCTCTTCGTCCTTCTTTCTTTCCTTCCTTCCTATCTCCCTTTTAGTGATGGTGATTTTCTCAGGTGAAATGTTTTAATTTCTTGCTTTTTTATTTTTGTGTATCTTTTGTATATTTTTTAATTCAAAGTTACTATGAGGCTTGCAAGTAACATAGCTCATCATTTTAAACTGATGACATTGATTGCATTAAAAAAGAAACTAAGAATAAGGAAACTAATAAAAAATATACACTAACTTTGTCCTTTGTCGCCTACTCTGCTTTTTAACTTTTTGTTGTTTCTATTTATATTTTATTTGACTGTCTCTGTCTTGAAAAGTTGTAGTTACTATTTTTGATTGGTTCATCTTTTAGTCTTTCCATGTAATATTTGAGTAGTTTACACATCACAATTACAGTGTTCTGTGTTTTTCTGTGGACTTACTATTACCAGTGAGTTTCATACCTTTGGATGATTTTTTATTGCTCATTAACATCCTTTTCTTTCAGATTGAGTGATTTCCTTTAGCATTTCTTGTAGCATAGGTCTGGTGTTGATGAAATCCCACGGCTTTTGTTTGTCTGGGAAAGTCTATTTCTCCTTCAAGCTTGAAGGATATTTTGGTTGGATGTACTATTCTAGGATAAAAGGTTTTTTCTTTCAGAACTTTAAATATGTCATGCCACTCTCTCTTGGTCTGTAAGGTTTCCACTGAGAAGTCTGCTGCCAGACATATTGGAGCTCCTTTGTATGTTATTTGTTTCTTTTCTATCTGTTTTAGGGTCGTTTCTTTATCCTTGACCTTTGGGAGTTTGATTATTAAATGTCTTGAGGTATTCCTACTTGGATTAAATCTGCTGAGTGTTCTATTACCTTCTTGTAATTACACATTTACCCCCATCTCTCTCTCTTTCTCCTCTTTGAGGCCAATAACTATTATATTTGCCCTTTTGAGGTTATTTTCCAGTTCTTGTAGGAGTGCTTCATTCTTTTTAATTCTTTTTTTGTCTCCTCTGACTGTGTTTTTTTTTTAAATAGCCTGTCTTCAACTCACTAATTCTTTTTTCTGCTTGATCTAGTCTGCTGTTAAGAGACTCATGCGTTCTTCAGTATGTCAATTGTATTTTTTTAATTCCAGAGTTTCTGCTTGATTCTTTAAAATTACTTCTATCTCTTTGTTCAATTTATCTGATAGGATTCTGAATTCATTCTCTGTGTTATCTTGGATTTTGCTGAGTTTCCTCAAAAGAGCTATTTTGAATTCTTTGTCTGAAAGATGACATATCTCTGTCTCTCCAGGATTGGTCACTGGTGCTTTACTTAGCTTGTTAGGTGAGGTCATGTTTTCTGGATTGTCTTAATGCTTCTAAGTGTTCATCAATGTCTGGGCATCAAAGAGTTAGGTATTTATTGTAGTCTTTGCAGTTTTGGTTTGGACCTATCCTTCTTGGGAAGGTTTTCCAGATATTCAAATGTAATTGGGTGTTGCAATCTAAGTCTTTGGTTGCTGCAGCCATATCTGCTTCAGTTGGGCACACCAAGCCATGCAGTAACACTGTGACTCTTGCAGACTCATGAGGTACTGCCTTGGGTAGGAACTGGGTGAATTCGTTGGATTACCAGGCAGAGACTCTTGTTCCCTTCCCTTCCCTTTCCCCAAATAAATGGAGTCTGTCTGTCTGTCTGTCTCTCTGTCTCTGTCTCTGTCTCTCTCTCTCTCTCTCTATCTCTATCTCTCCTGAACGGTTTTGAGCTGGGGGATAGGTAACAAAAGCACCCATGTGGCCAACACATGGGACCATGTCTGGTCAGATCTGAAGCCAGCACAGCACTGGGTCTCACCCAGGGCCTGTGATAACCACTGCCTGACAACTCCCTATGTTTGCTCAAGGCCCTAGGGCTCTACAATTAGCAGATGGTGAAGCCAGCCAGGCTGTGTCTTTCCCTTCAGGGTGGCAAGTTTTTCCTGGTCCTGGGTGTGTTTAGAGATGCCATATGGGAGCCAGGGCCTGGAGCTGGGAACCTTAGGAACCTACCTTGTGCTGTATTCTACTGTGGCTGAGCTGCCACCCAAACCATAAGACAAAGTCCTTCTCACTCTTCCTTCTTACTAGAAGCAGGGAGTCTCTCCCCATGGTCATGACTGCCTAAGGCCCATGGTGAGTACTGCCTTGGCCACTGATGTTCACTCAGGGACCCAGGGCTTTTCAGTCAGCTTGTGGTGAATGCTGCCAGGCCTGTGAGTCTCCTTTCAGGGCATCAGGCTCCCCTCTGGCCCAGGGCATGTCCAAAAATGTCATTCAAGGGTAAAGACCTGGAATCAGGACCCCAAAGGCTCACTTGGTGCTCTACTCCACTGCATTTGAACTGGTACCTACACTGCAAGACAAAGCCCCCTTTACTCCTCTCTCTCCTTTCGTCAAGCAGAAGGGGTCACAGCTTGGAATGTCTTGGGTCACACCTGAAATTAGCATATCTTTGAGTCTCACCCAAGGCCTACAGCAAATACTGCCTAAATACCACTGCTGATCAGGGCCCAAGGGCTCTTTAGTTAGCAGGTGATGAATCCTGCCAGGACTGGGTCCTTCCCTTCAAATGTGTTCCATTCTGTTCCAGGGTGTGTCTAGAAGTGCTGTCTGGAAGTCAGGGGCTGGAATGGCGGCCTCAGGACTTTGCCCGGTGCCCTATTCTACTGTGGCTGAGCTGGTATCCAAGTTGTAAGACACAGTCCTTTTTACCCTTCTCTCTTCTTCACAAGTGGAAGGAAGGAGTCTCTCTCAGAGCTGTGAGCTGCACTGCCTGCAGTTGAGTAAGTGGTGGTGCAAGCACTCCCTTGGCCACCCTGGCTGGTGTCTTACTGGGTCACATGCACGCCAAGTCCACTGGCTCCAAGCCCTACACAGCATCAGGATGGAAACTGCAGACCCTGTGGCCTAGGCTGCCTTTCAAGTTTATTTAGGACCCCAGATCGCTTTAGCCTGTGGTGTCAAGGCTTGCCAGAACGCAGGTTCTGACTGCTGGGATGGGTGATTCTCCTTTCATTAAGGCTGGTTTAAATGTTCCCTCTATGAGCATCAGCTGAGTTTTGCCCCATGCTGCTTTCTGCTGTGACAGGGCACACTGAGTTCCAATGCAAAGTTTCACAATCACTGTGCTCTCCCTCCTCCAACCACCCCCCCCCCCACCACACCCCCTGGAGTGCACAAATTCTCTCTCCACACCATACAGCTGCTGCTGAGGGATGGAGGAGGGGTGGCATTGGCAATCCAAGACCATCTTATCCGCCTGCCGCGGTGGCTCACGCCTATAATCCAGCACTTTGGGTGGCTGAGGCGGGCAGATCATGAGGTCGAGAGATCGAGACCATCCTGGCCAACATGGTGAAACCCTGTCTCGACTAAAAATACAAAAATTAGCTGGGCATGGTGGTCCGTGCCTGTAGTCCCAGCTACTCGGGAGGCTAAGGTAGGAGAATCGCTTGAACCCGGGAAGTGGAGGTTGCATTGAACCAAGATTGTGCCACTACACTCCAGCCTGGCGACAGAGCGAGGCTCCCTCTCAAAAAAAATAAAAACAAAAACAAAAAAAATCTTATCTATTCTCTTCAGTGCCTTTTCCTTAATATGATGTTACAACCAAGTACTATGATAGCTCACCTGATTTTAGGTTCTTATGAAGGTGTCTTTTTGTTTGTTTTCATTTTGATTTTTGTTCAATTTGGTGTTCCTGTGGGAATGACAATCAGTAGAGGCTTCTATTCATCCATCTTGCTCCCTGTCTCCCCTAATGCCATTTAGAGGAGAGTGTGAAAAATTCCTGAACTGAAAATAGTTGTCTATTCAGTTTTGTATTTTGTCTCTGAGAGTGGTGATTGTGCCAAAGGAAGGTATAGAAGCTCTCCTTTGTTACGCTATCTCCTCAAAAGAACATGGCTTTGATAAATTGTTTGTATCTCTATGATGGATGGTGCTTTATTGTTCTCCTGATTAAACAAAGGGCAGACAACACTGGAAGAGAAATTTCACGTTAACATAGGTGGGAGTGAACTGATCTACCACTACTTTCTATCAGGAGAACAATTTGGGAATCAGAAAAAAAAATCTTTGGGAATGGTGCCACTTATGCACTCAACACTCCGTCAATGTGATGGTTCTCATAAGCAGACATAAGGTGTAAGAAAGGTGCTAAAATGCTCCTTGGTTCAATAATGTCCATAATCTTATATTTCATAATAGATTTAGTCAAAGTTGTGTTAATGGAAGACTTATGCAACTAGACCATGTTGTTTTAGGAAGAAAATGAACAGTTGCTAAGGTGAGGTTGCATGCCCTTAAGAAATTCGGTTGTACACTGGCTACAACTCTTACTGAAAGCAGGTAATGAGATGCAACAGGGAGTACCCCTCCCTTTTTCTCCCATTCTCAGGTCCCAAGCCTTTCTTGCTCCCTTCTGAACTTGCAAAGCCTGAACAGAGGGAAGCCTCCATTAGCATATGGAGAAAACCCGAGGAGTCAGAGGAGGCTAGGATTTTTTTATGAGGTAGAGATTGTGGCAGTTTCACACAGGAAGGGGGTGGTAACACCCCAGGAGGGAGGTTTGAGGTGTGGCTGCAGGAGGAAGACAATAAGAGGGACTAGCAAGAGGATCACTGAGAAGAGAGAAGATGAAGAGCTAGAGAACATTTACATGCACAACCAAAGCAAGCCCCAACTGTAAGCAATTTACCATTTCCTCTGAAAGGCATGAACAATTCAGACTAAGTCACAACCTCCTGTCTGTATTGCTTTGGTGCTTGTCTGCATCATCAGTAAAAGAACTGCTTACATTTCTCTTCCATATCTGTTTTTTTTTTTTCTAGCAAAGAGAGTTGTGGAATTATTCACGAATGAAGCAGTTCCAGATAGGAACATCAGGCCACCTGATGCTGTTCTGGGGAGGCATGGCAGGTGGTAGAGGGAGCACTCACCTTCCCCTTGGAGTCAACCATGTGGAGAAGACCACAGATCATTAGATGTCTTCCCTGGCACCGGGGACTGCAGGCCAGATTTCTTTGATTCCCCTGATAACCTCCTCTCTTCCTGAGGACAGAAAGGGGGCCCTTTCATTTTCTGGTTACATGAAATAGTACTTCAGAATGGGCCAAGCTGGACCATTAAATAGGAAGTGGATCATGGAGGGTGCAAGTGAGGTTCTTGTTGCAGGAAGGCTTTTAGCAGATGCTGATCAATGAATTGGAAGGGATATTTGAGGTGGAATTCAAACACGGGTAACCAGAAGTTCCCAAACATGACTGCATATAAAAATCAGTTATTTAGCTGTCAGAAACACAAATATTTGGGCCCCATTCCAAGACTGGCCAAGTCAAAATAACTGAAGGTAGAGACAAAAAAAATTCTATAAATTTTTTCTACAGTGATTAAAAATCACAGCCATGTTTTAGAACCAGTAGACTAGATGATGTTTAAGATAGAAATCCAACTCTGAGATTTTATATTTCACAAGTAAAGCAACTAGAATCCCAGAAGTTTGATAAGCTTGGGTGTCATTCTATATATCGGATCACTTTTTAAGCTCTGATTCTTCAGTATCTTGTAGAAACTGGATCACATTTTTTTTTTTTTTTTTTTTTGCATGTTGAAAGATTGTCACAGTAAGAGTGGCTGCATTTTAGTTGCTATCTAAATGGCTGGAAGGTAGAGCTGTGAATGACCTGGGGCATGGGCTCCCAGAGACCTACAAATAAGCTCAAAGAGGATGCTGGAACCCTTCCTGGGGCACTGGGAGCCATGTACTTAAAAACACCATCTGGTGCTCACTTTCTTCCTTCCTTGTCTAGGCTGAGGTCAGCGAGAGAAAAATATAATGATGAAAGCAAAGGTGTGTAAGAGAACTGGTGCAATACAAGCATGTCTCAACACTGACTTTCCATATTGGTGCCAGGCAAGCAAAGGGTAGTGGACCATACTGGCCATTTATTATTATAAGGGCCTCTGGCAAAACTCTTCTTTCTGAGGCTCAGTGTTATAGTCATCACAGAAAACCAAGGAAAGGATCTTTAAAGACAGGCACAGTGTGAACCCTAAAGTGATGGCAAGCAAGCTGAAGAGATCAACACAAATACCTAAGGAGATGTTTTCGGACTCTTCCGTACTTGCACATCCACCTTAGTGATCTGGTTCCAACCCAACTTGTCTGTCATACTCTTGCTCCATAAAACCATCTCCTGAAGCTAGCCTCCACCCACTTGCCACACCCACTCCTCTCTTCTTAAAATCCTTCAGTGGCTCTCCATTGTAGAAAGGATGAAGTTCAGCTCCTTAGTATGAGAAAAAAGACTCCCCACAGTATGCTTTCTGTCTACTCCTGTGGCTTGATCTTCTCTGACCCCACAATTTTCATGCCCTGTACTTGAGCTACACCTACTTACCTGTCCATGAGCAAGCTTTGTTGAGCTTTGCCTTCTTGCTTTTGTCTATACCACTTACCCACCCACACCTCCTGACCAGCCATGGTCCTTTGCACTACAGTTGAAACTCCACATTCTCCCCCAATTCTCCACTTACAAGCAGAGTTGATCTGCAGACTTGGGGCTACCACTATACTTAGAACATAAATTTATGTAGCACTTGTTACACTATTACAACTAACGGTTTCTAGGTCTGTTTTGTCTCTTCTAATGAACTATAGTTTGTTGAGTGAAGGCATGGTTTATTGTCTTTTTCAACACTATGTCTCCATTTGCTGCTCAGTATGTGTGTGAACCATAGAAGGCATTCTTTATATAATGGTGATGAATATATGTCAACTATAAGCCAATATGTAGGATTTTTTTTTTCTTTATGAGAAAGCAAGTTCTGAGAACTTTGGGAACTAATCATGTACTGGGAATATTGATTTCTCAGCCCATGTTTGCTGTGTTCACCCTGAGATTCAGACGAAGCTGGGCATGTCTTAAAGATCAGATAAGTAGAACATTAGGTATTAGAAAATAAATTGCATCAAAGGAAGAATTACAAGTTTATTCGTAGGAAAATTGGGCAAATCAGAGAGGAAGAGTGATTTTGAGTACAATGCAGTGCCTCCTCTTGTATGAAGTAAATAATAACAGAGCTTACTGGAATTTATGTAAGAGTTTCAGAGGCATTTTTCAGCAAAGAGAGACCTTCGTAGGGGTGGAAAAATAATTGTTACACTTACCTGGAATAACACTATTGAAACACATGCTGATGTAGGGGAGACATATTGGCTTAATCAGGAAGCCAGACAGCAAGCCTAAAGCTGCAGAGAGAGGAGAGAGGAGAGAGAGAGACTAAAGAGAGACACTAAAGAGAGAGAGAAGAGGGAGAGAAAGAGAAAAATGAAAGAGAGAGAGAGAGAGAGATACAGGAGATGAAAGCTCATCTGCAGGGCCAAACAGGCAGATAAGGATTCGAGAAACATGGTGGGTATGTGGAGACTGAGCCCATGAGAAATGCCCCTCAGGATCCCCTGAATTATTTGGGAGAAGGTTTTGTTTCTTCAAAATGGAAGAAAAGCAGAAGCAAAAAAATGCTATCTTTTTTTTAAGTGACTACTACCCTACTTTTTACATATCCTTCCCGTCCCTTTGGTGTGGGCTTGGAAAACAAAATGACACAAAGCAAGACATAATGTGGTCCTTGCCAACTGATGGACCGGGACATGAATAGGTGAAAAGGTAGCCATACAGAACTACCTTAGCAGTTTAGGAGAAAGGTGTCTTCTCCTTTCTAGCTCAAACCTCCTGGCAGATGACTTTTAGGATTTAATAGTGCCAAAGGTTTGAGCTGCTATTTTGTCTCAAGGGAAAGCTAAAGAGGGGAAAAAAATAATTCCTTTTCACAAGGCTTAACTTTGCATTGGCCTATGCCATTGTTGGCATCTGACAAGTGGCTAATTTGCAAGGCTGGGTTAAAAATTGAGGTAATTTAGTTTTCTTTCACTTGAAAAGTTCATGTGAATGGGAAATAACCCAGGAGCTGTTACAAAGCTGTGGGTCACATGGCAGTCCAAACAGACCCAGTTCAAAAGAGAAGCAGTGAGGACTGCTTACACTGTTGACTTGAGAGAATGTCTTCAGAGGTCTAATTGGAGCTGTGTGCCTAATATTGACGAAACAGTGACACGCCTCAGTTATTTAACTGGAAAGGAAAAGTGGGAATTCACCTTCAAGATACTCTTTGGTTTAATCACTCTGGCCACAGCATTTCCTGCTCAGCTAGATGGTGAAGAGTCTACCAGCAATTCCTGGCATCTGACACATAAAAAGAAGTCAGGGCCGGGCATGGTGGCTCACGCCTGTAATCCAAGCACTTTGGGAGGTTGAGGTGGGTGGATGATGAGGTCAGGAGTTCAAGACCAGCCTGGCCAAGATGGGGAAACCCCGTCTCTACTAAAAATACAAAAAAATTAGCTGGGTGTGGTGGCGGGTGCCTATAATCCTAGCTACTCAGGAGGCTGAGGCAGAGAATTGCTTGAACCTGGGAGACAGAGGTTGCAGTGAGCCAAGATCATGCCACACCACTGCACTCTAGCCTGGGTGACAGAGCGAGACTGAGTATCAGAAAGAAAAAAAAAAAAAGGGAAAAAATCAGGCAATTCAACTGGGATTGACACCACTACCATCACCCTCGGAAAGACCTAAAAACGTGCACCTAAAAGAGAGCCTATCTGGATAGTTAGGAAATCACAGCACCATGTTCTTTATGAGCAGAGAGGAGCTGCCAACTTCATTCGATCCAATGCCCTCATTTTATAAGTGGTAGATCCAGAGAAGGGATAGATTTTTGATTTAAATAATCCACTAGGTTGTTTGCTACCTCTCAGTCTGAGTAGAGAAACTATCAGGAAAACAGTCTCAGGATGTAGGTTACAGCCTGGTGGGAAAGATTGTGCAGTAAGTTTTTTGGTTTCCTCAGGATACAAATGATTTAACTAAGACAGTAGCGCCATACTTAACTTTTATCAGTGGCAAAAATTCTCAGAAGTCTCAGCTCACTCATTTTTTTCTTTCTTTTTAGAGACAAAGTCTTACTGTCACCAGGCTAGAGTGCAGTGGCATAATCATAGCTTGATGGAGCCTCAAACCCCTGGGTAAAGTGATCCTCCCGCCTTAGCCTCCTGAGTAGCTGGGACTACACAGGCGTATACCACTGTGCCTGGCTAATGTTTAATATTTTTTTGTAGAGACAGAGTCTCACAATGTTTTCCAGACTAAAAATTCATTTTTCTTGCTAGTTTTTATTCAGTTCTCAGTTTGAGAGGAATTAACGCTGCAAAAGTTTGCCATCCTCTCAGTGGGCATTTATCACTTTCCAAGTCCCTTTTTCACTTGAGGAACTCTTTCTTATGTCTAACATGGTGGTTCTGGTGAGGGCTGTAAATCACAGTGCTTGTGGGGCATGAAATGGCCTGAGTAGATCAATCCCAATGTTCAATCAACTTTGTTGGTTGGCTCAGTGATGGGCATAGGATACAATCCTGGCCAATGAGGGAACTTGCTGAGATTTTTTCTTGCTGGAGCTAGAGGAAGGACACTGTGTTTCCCTGGTCGTGAAGCTGAAGGGTGCACACTTAGATCTACTTTTGTTAATGGTCCAGCATTGAGGAGCAGCTGGCAATAAGATGCAGAAAAGACAAAAATCAAGAAACAGGGAGTTGTTAGTATTGGAGGCCCATATCCAGTTATCCTGGAGGCTGTGTTCCCACCCCTCCCTTTTGTTGGCTTGCTTATGGGTGACCCCAAATTCTCCTTTCTGGCCTAAGTAAGCCAATTTCAGTTGACTTTCGGTCATTGTCATATGAATTAATAAAAGCGTCCTAATACTTTCCATTTCCCTCTGTCCTTGATTGTCCCCTATATTTGAGTCATTAAGTCTGTTGTAGGCAAAATAATGCCCCACCACCACCAAGATGTTCACATTCTTTGTGAATATGCAAGTTTAAATGGCAAAAATGACTTTGCAGATGTGGCTAAATTAAAGATCCTGAGATGGAGAGATTATCCTGGATTATCTGGGTGTACCCACTGTAATCACAGTGTCCTTATAGGGGAATAGGGAGGCAGGAGAGTTAGAGGAGATGTGAGGCTAGAAGCAGAGGTTGGAGTGATGCAGCCATGAGTGAAGGAATGTG
The DNA here is from genome assembly GCF_000001405.40 of Homo sapiens. Classification (NCBI taxonomy): domain Eukaryota; kingdom Metazoa; phylum Chordata; class Mammalia; order Primates; family Hominidae; genus Homo; species Homo sapiens. Next base: position 91,428,575 of record NC_000015.10, read on the forward strand.
GGCAGCCTCTAGAATCTGGGAAATGCAAAGGGATGGTTCTCCCCCAGAGCCTATAGGAATCAGCCCTGCTGAGATCTTGACTTTAGTGTTTGTGGTCATTTGTTTTGGTAGCAATAGGTAACTATATAAAATCATTAAAATTGTTGAGTACCAAACCAATCTCCCTGAACTGTTTTTCTGTAATCTCTGTCCTGCCTGGGCTTTGCCAAGATCTCACCACACATATTGGGCTGGCCACCTACATAATAAGATCTGAAGGTTTCCTGCTGTCTTGCAGGATATCTAATTGCTGATGTATAAAATTCTTTAAAGAAGAAATATGCATTTGTTTGCATTATGATTTTAGGCTTGGAGTGAATATTCTTTGGAGAGAAACAAACCTATTTACTTCAATATATTGAAAATTATTAAATGATGCTGAGTCCTTTCTCCAAGCAGGTGTTGGTGAGGTGGGTTGTGATGAAGCCAGATCTTAAAGGCACGTGCTTTCAGGTATCTATGTGGTGGGGAGAAAGATTCTAAAAAGCCAGGATTCTGAAAGTGAACTCCTAACTTCACAATATCACAAAGCCAGGCTTGGTTTCAGCAGATGGAAGGCGCCTGTGTGCTTGTTTTTGTCGCGTTATGTTTGCAGTGTACTGAGAGTTTAGTTTTCAGCCTGTGTAATCTTAACAACTTTAAGCACTCCCAGTTTCCTCATTTGTAAAATGAGGATTAAATTAATATGTAGCTTATTTGGGTTTTATGAGGATAAATGAGATAGCAAATGCAATTTTCTTAGCACAGTTCTAGGTAGGTAGCAAGGGTTCATAGAAGTCTAGCAATATGGTGAATTGGGAGCCATGGGGACCTGGAACAAACACCAGCAGTGAGTGGGTGGCAGAAAGAAGTCAGATTTACTGGGCAATATGTGGACCCAGGAGTCAACAAGGATGACCATAATAGGAGGTAATCTAGGCACTCATTTAGTATCAGAGAGGCCCTAGCAAGGGAAACAAGCATGTGGTGGAAATCAGGGATATGAAGCACCGGGTCAAATCTGGGAGAAGGAGTCTCTAGATGGCACGACACACTACTGTGGAAGGTGGCAAGATGGCCTGGATCTCAGCCGTTTTAAAGACAATGATTCAAATAAACCAGGCATAGGCAGCAATGTCAGGGTCCAATGACAGAATTAAGGTCCCAGGTGGGAGGGCTTGATCTTGAGTGGTCAGGGTGAAAGTCCAGTAACTGGAGCAGCAATGTTAGTCCAAGATGGGGGTGAACAAAGAAGCAGCTTGGTGCTGAGTCCCATGGTGTTCAGTGCTTCTTAAATCCTATTGCCCATAGTACTGGTTCCAAAATCTCTATAGAGTGGAAGAGGGTGTGGCAACAGGAGGAGAGGTTGAGTTCATCCACATAGATCAAGTGCTTCCATTTTTGGGGAGAGGAAGGTGTAAGATTCTCCCTGGGGCCTGAAAGCTTAGGGAGATGAATAACTCCTCCCTTCTCAGGCCCAGTCCCAAGGCACAAGGCTGCTTGCTCCAGCAGTGTGCTGACAGCAAGATAGAAGCAGGAAGAGAGCCGGCCGGAGGATACCTACTCTGGCCGGAAGACACGTACCCCTGAAGGTTTAGAAAGAGGCCATCCGGATACAATTACATCAGACTAGGACACTTCCTGTTTACATGAGACTATAAAACCTTTGCCCTGTCCTCACTTGGGGCTGATGCCATTTTAGGCCTCAGCCTCCCTGTACCCAGGCTCTCATTAAAACACCATGTTGCTCCACACCGTGTTGTCTGTTGGCGCGCTCTCGAGGTTCGAACCAATATAAGAACCTTACAGAAGGTAGTCAGCAAAAAAACAGACAAGTCCTTTATTTTAAGATAAAGAAAACCTACCTTTCTTAAGACTAAACAGGCACAAAGCATTGGGATTATCCACTTCTTCTGAAGGGCAGCAACTCCAATGATCAAACATTAGCCATGAGATGGACCCGAGAGATCATATCATATAGCCGCCTCTTTTATAAAATCAATATTTCTCAAAGACTGTTACCTGGACCACCAGTTTCAGCTTCATTAAAATGGAAAATGCTTGGTCTCTAATTGAGTATCCTAAATCAGACTCAGGGAGTGGGAGAGGGGGGTGAGCTAGAAATGTGCGTTTTAACCACCTCTCAGGTGATTAGGAACTGCAGGTTTTGTGGTTCTTAACACTGACTGCCCATTATAATCACCTAGGGATGATATCCTAACCGTGGGCTAATCGAACTGGAACTTCTGAGGCTGGGGCTGAGGCTCAGGCAACAGTATCTTAATAAGCACCCTGTGTTGAGAACCGCTGGCATAGATGGTAGTAAAGTGATTTTCCTAAGGGCACTCAATCGAATAGTGGTAGAGCTGGAATGGAAATTCAGTCTTTGTTGAAAAGCAAAAGAAAGTGTGGTCTTTGAAACTCAGTGGACAAGCATCAGAATCAGAGGATTGGAATCCATGATTTGAGAGGAAGGGCAACTGGTCCAGTGAAAGCAAGGACTGACCTGGAGCTATTGGCTACTTTTGTGTACTGGCCATTACCTGGCATGCCGTGGGAGAATTTGTGTTTAATCAGGGTGTACTGACAGAAATGAAATGAAATTGCTGCAAGAAAAAGCCACAGCAGAAACAATGCTTAGCATTACCTAATGAGTGACCAAAACGCTGTCTTCCTATCTGCAAATCCCATAGCCCCAGGTCAACATTCAAATCGATGAGTAGGTACATATTAAGCTGATTGTGATGCTGAGGTGGAGAGCTAAATAGACCAAATGCTAGAGGGTAGGTAAGAAATTAAATGTGTATTATATCTTCCTCTTTTTCTCAGTGTATGATTTTGTGTTAGGAAGGCAGGTCCATCTCAACTTAAATATTTACTTGTCTTTCAGCGCCTTAGCTCCAGGCACAAATTAAATTCCTAGGCTGCAACAGTGGAAGAATTTAATCTGCTGTATGTTCCGAGGGTGACGTATGTTAGGCTTGCTTTGCCTTCTGAATTTCTTCTTTTAGATAAGTGATACTGATTGTAGTGCGGACTGTCAGTAGACTTGAGTAGTGAAGGCCCTTCTCTGAGAGTGGCTGCTCCAGTCTTCATTTTTGTCACTGCCTTAGTTGTGAGCGTTCCTTGATGCTGCCACTACACAGACAAGACCTGGACACTCAGAGGTATTTTTTGTTTGTTTGTTTTTTGAGTTGGAGTCTTACTCTGTTGCCCAGGCTGGAGTGCAGTGGTGCAATCTCGGCTCACTGAAACCTCCGCCTCCCTGGTTCATGCGATTCTCCTGCCTCAGCCTCTTGAGTAGCTGGGATTACAGGCACCTGCCACCACACCTGGCTAATTTTTGTATTTTTAGTAGAGATGGGGTTTCACCATATTGGCCGGCTGGTCTTGAACTCCTGACCTCAGGTGATCCACCCACCTCGGCCTCCCAAAGTGCTGGGATTATAGACGTGAGCCACTGCGCCCAGCCTCACTCAGCGGTATTTAGTCCAATCCAATGCTGTTCACGGTAGGATGACTCACTGAATAGTTAATATATTCTTTTATTTATTTATTTTTCTGCTTTTCAGAGAAAGGGACTAGAAAACCCTCCGGATGGGCCTTCAAAAGTTAAGTCACTTAGGGATGCCAGATAGTGTTTCTTCCCTGGAGAAGGTGGGTGGGGAGTACACAGAATCTTTGCAAGGCAGTTCATTATTATTATGGTGAACAAGTTCAGGCTACCAGAGTATTTCTATTGACTTAGGGAAAGAATAAGATCTCTAGTCTTGTGAGAGCCTGAGGCTTCTAGAAGCAATCCATATAGCTATTCTGAAGCAAGTGGATAGTGGCCTGATTGCAGGAAGATCCGGGTGCTTCAGTTCAGGTATTAAGGTATGGCAGGTACTAGAGTGAAATGAGTGAGGGACCTGCCTTGGCCACCAAGTATATGTGGCTACATAAATGCAGCAATCAAGATAAATAATTTTGACGCAATGTGTTAAAAATCAAAATTAATGCAAAAATGCACTCTGAACAAAATAGCAAAATTTTGAATAAAGACGGGATCAGTAATCATATTGAGCCATAGTAGGGCTTGACACAAAAGGAAAAAATCAGAAATACTGGTTTTTAGTAACACGGAATATGACAAATAACAGGAAGCGCAGCAAATCAGCTCCAGATGAGTTGCAGATCTGAATGCGAATGATAAACAATAAATATTGTGGAAGGAAAAAAATCCTAATAAACTGGGAGTAAGTTTCTTGAACAGAACTCAAAAAGCACTAACCATGAAAAAAAAAACTTGAGAAACTTAGCTATAACAAGATTAGATATTTCTGTTCATCAAAAGGCACTATTAGGAGGATGAAGAAGCCATTCAGAATGGGGAAGATATTTGCAATTCAAATATCTGACCTAAGAATTAAATCTCACATATTAAGAGCTCCTGCAAATGAAAATAAGAAGACAGACAACCTAATAAAAACATGAGCAATAGACTTGAACAGGCATTTCAGGAATGTATAGCTAAGTGACAAATAAGCATTTGAAAAATAGCTTATTTTCATTTTCAAGGAAATGCAAATTAAAACCTCAGCAAGACACTCCTGTAGCTTGCATTTTCTAGAATTTTATATGAATGGAATCATGCAATACGTACCAGAATGGCTAAATAAGCATGTAATTCCAAGTGTTGATGAAGAACAACTTGGACTGTCATACACTGCTAGTGGGAGTTTAATATGGTACGAGCAGGCCGAGGCAGGTGGATCACAAGGTCAGGAGATCAAGACCATCCTGGCTAACACGGTGAAACCCTGTCTCTAATAAAAATACAAAAAAAAAAAAAAAAAATTAGCCGGGCATGGTGGCGGGCACCGGTAGTCCCAGCTACTCAGGAGGCTGAGGCAGGAGAATGCGGTTGCAGTGAGCCAAGATCGCCACTGTGCTCCAGCCTGGGTGAAAGAGCAAGACTCCATCTCAAAAAAATAAAAAAATAAAAATAAATAAAAATAAAAAACTGTTTCATAATATCTTCTAAGGCTGACCTAGTACATCCTTCCTGGCCAAGCAATTCCAACAGAAATACTTACACATGCTCATCAAAAGATATGCACAAGAACGCTTAACATCCTTAATTATTACAGAAATGTTAATTAAAACAATAATAAGATAGCACCGCATACCCATCAGGATGTCTAATAGGTATCTGAAAGAATGGACTCTAACAAGTGTTATGAGGATGAGGAGCAAATGGAACTCTCATATACTCTTGGTGGAAATGTACAGTGTGGAAAACAATTTTAAAGTTTTTTTAAAAAGTTAAACATGTAGCTACTATATGAATAGTATATTGTAAGTATACTATTGTAAGTAGTAAATATATTTTTTAAATAATATATTTCTTATACAATATTTATTACACAATATACAATATGTTACAAAATAATTTTGTAAATTTACTATTGTAAATAGTAAAAGAATAGGTATTTACCCAAGAGAAATCAAAGTGTATGTCCATACAAATGCTTACACAGAAATGTTCACAGCAGCTTATTTTTTGATAGCCACAAACTGGAAACAACCCCAATGGCATCAACAGTGAATAGACAAGCAAACTGTGGTGTGTCCTTACAGTGGAACACTGTTCAGCATTACAAAGGGAATAAACCACTGACACATATAGCAGCATGGATGAATCCCAAAATTATTCTGCTGAGTGAGTAAAAAGTGGCAGACAAAAAGCATACATATTGTATGATTCCCTTCACATAAAATTCTAGATAATGCAACATAGTGATAGCAGATTGGTGGTTGTTTGGGGGTTGGGGGCCGTAGGAATAGGTGGGGGTTGGGGGAGGAATGACAAAGGAGCATGAGGAAACTTTTGTGGGTACTGGATTTGTTTATTATATTAACTTTAGTGATAGTTTTGTGTATGTGTGTGTGTGTGTGTGTGCATATGGGTGTGTCAAAATTTACCAGATTGTGCACTTGAAATATGTGCAGGTTTTTATGTGTTAATTACATCATGATACAACTGTCTTTAGAAAACAATTACATGAAAGGCTTTGCTCTCAAGTTTCTCCTTGCCTAGCTGTAGATAGGCAGATAAACATATCATTATAATGCACATGTTCAGTGCAGTTATGAAGGGCTTTGGCAAGATGCAGAACCTAGCCAATTCAGGAATACCTGGAGGAATCAGGGAAGGCCCTGGAGAGGATGTTTGGTGAAGCGTAGGGAGTCTAAATGACACAGTTTAAGGCAAGCCTGGAGATGCAGTTAGAAACCAGCTGGTGAAGGGTGCCACATTAGAAAGTAGACAAGGAGATGAGTAAGAGCAATGAATACGTTAATAATACTAATCACAATTTTGGGAGGTGGCCTGATTTTCTTGGTGAGATTTATGATTCCTAAATCTCATCATTTAAAGATCAATGGGCCTTGATTGAATGAACAGCCTCATTCATTGGCCCTCCACTCTACTGTTCACACTATATATGTCCTAGAAAAATAATATGTCCCAATATAAAAATGCTGGTTCCATTTTTAATACAGCTTGAATGTTCATTCCAGGCAGGACAATTTGTCTCTGCGCTTTTATATTATCTTTTTTTTTCAACTCACTTTCTTTGAAAATAGTAAAAACACATTTTCTACTTAGCAAGATAAATTCAGTTTTTCTCTTAAACTTGGGGTAAATGATGTAATGTAATGTAATCAACTTGTTTAAAGGTCTGGGGAAGAGATATCTATGGCAACCTTCCCAAGCCATTCTGGTGAATAACCCAAGTCTAATTTGCCTTCAGATGACTTTTAGGTGGGATGAGTAGCAGAGGAAGGAAAGGAAGTAGTAGGAGGAAAAGCAGAAGACGAGAAAGGGGAGCAGAATGAGAATTATGTGAAGTCCCACTATTAAATGCTTAATACATAATGTAATTAAATTGCTACCAAAGACCTTCCATGAGTGTTTATTGGAATCTGCATTTGTCCTTGTTTTGTAATTGCAAAAAAAGCCAGAAGGAGATTGACATTTTTTTTTGTTCTCATTCTATGTTATTCCCTCCAGAGTACAAATAAGTCAAATAATGGATTTTATTTTCTGAAGTTCAGAAAGAAAGTGAAATTGTTGATATTGTATAAGTAAACAGGCTCTGACTCTCAATGACTTTAAACAGCTAACATTATTATGTATCTCTGCTGTTTTATTTATCTCATTTTCTTCAGTCTCCACAGAAACCCTACAAAGTCATTTTTGGTACACAGAAGTAAAAAGCATGTAGGGATAGAGATTGTCGAGCTTGCTCAAAGTCAGATCATTAATAATTGTGCCTGCCCTGCTCAGCTGACTGGAACCTGGTTCAGTTGTAGCCATAGCCCATGCTCCTTATGCTACTTCAGCTTTACCCAGGCAGGTTTCACATAACAAATGAATATTTAGGCATAGATGATACAGTGTGGGGCACATAATAAGCACTCAAAAAGTATTGTGTTTTTTTTTGATAGAAAACTTATCTAATTTTCTAAGTATGTATTCTAAACCTCAAATTCTTTCCTCCTGCATTTAGTAAACCTTTAGAAATGAACCCTGAAGGGGAAATTTAAGGGATTTATCTTGCCTCCTCCCTCTCTTGGGAAGGCCTCCTGATCTCCTTTTTACATCTGTTTGAGATGGTTTTTCTCAACCTTGTCCTTTTTGTTCTTTAGTGACTGATGCAGGGATAACCCAAATGAGCTAATCAGAGTCTATCTACAGAATTTTTGTATTGTGTCAAAGAAAGAGAATCTGTCTCTCCTCAATCAGCAGCTACTGGTAGCCAAGTTTCCTCAGGTGGTGAGTGAATAATGGCAATGGCTGGAAAGAAGTAGGTGGACCAACGTGGCAGAGTCCTTGGACTCTTGACTGACCTGGCTTCAATTGTTTTGAGGCTCAAATTCATCTCTGCTGACCATAATTTAATTCTTCAATTGTACCATGAATCCCGAGAGCCAAGAGATTTTTTTTTTTGTCAGTGTGAGTCTAAGCTGATTTTTCGATCACTTGTAACCAAGAGTCCTAATTGATGTAAACCTCATCAGAAGAGTAGTGTTTCTGTCATTATTTTAAAGTCAGTTTGACAATTCTGGAACACACACAGAAAAGGATAAGTTGCCATGAAAGTACATTTATTTATGCATTTTCATAAATATTTAAAATAAGTGGCAGGGCACGGTGACTCATGCCTGTAATCCCAGCACTTTGGGAGGCCAAGGTAGGTGGATCACCTGAGGTTGGGAGATCAAGACCAGCCTGGCCAACATGGTGAAACTCTGTCTCTACTAAAAATACAAAAATTAGCCAGTTGTGGTGGTGCACGCCTGTAATCCCACAGGAGGCTGAGGCAGGAGAATCACTTGAACCTGGGAGGCGGAGGTTGCAGTGAGTCGAGATCACACCACTGCACTCCAGCCTGGTGACAGAGTGTGACTCCATCTCAAAAAAAGAAAAAAACAAAAAAAATTTAAAAGCTATAGCTAAACAGTGATTCCAAAAGATAATACTTATTGGAATTAGATTTCAAATAAATAAACACTTGTTTATAAATATATAACTTTTACATCAACCTTAAACATCAGTCTTAAGGCTTGCATCAGTACTAGATCTGGCCACAGATTTTAGTTGCAAAATTGCTAACTAAACCAACCCCAGATGATTTAAGTAGAAAATATTTTATTAAAAGAATATTGGAGGAATTTCAGTTTCAGTAATGGCAGAGTAGCTTGTCTAGGAAAATTCCCTTTCCCAAAAATCTATGATAAACTCTGGATAAAATATAAAAAAGAAAACCCCAACTATTTGAAGACACCGTAGAGTATCCAAAAAGAGGCATAAGCTTGATTAGATGCTTGGAAAAGGGAACAAAACTAGGTGAAGTCTCCATTGATGCAGCTTTGTTCATAAAGGTATTCACCAGTCCCCATGACATGGGACAGAGAGAATTCAAGAAGAAAGTGGCGGTATTATTGGCTCGATGTTTCAGAGAATAGAATTTAGGGATGCCAGAACAGCTATAAAATGAAGAGGAGAAAGTCCTGAAAAAGAAAAACCTATGGATGGGAGAGTCTTTAAATATGTATATGAGCTTCCTTCAAATCTGTGACTATACATGTATGGGAGAGGCTTCAAATAGCAGAAAAGAAAGCAAAAGCTAGAAGTGTGAAAAAGCAGAACACTGCAACTCATTGCAGGGGAGACAGTTTGAAGTTTGAATCTATCCAAGTAAAGAGGCTTCGTAAACACCTTAGGCCTTCCATTGAAACCTTAGGAGGGAATACCTTTAGAGTGCTTGCTGGCCGGGCATAGTGGCTCACACCTGTAATCCTAGCACTTTGGGAGTCTGAGGTGGGTGGATCACTTGAGGTCAGGAGTTTGAGACCAGCCTGGCCAACATGGTGAAACCTCATCTCTACTAAAAATATGAAAATTAGTCAGGCCTTGTGGCACATGCCTGTAATCCCAACTACTCGGGTGGTTGAGACAGGAGAATCACTTGAACCCAGGAGGTGGAGGTTGCAGTGAGTAGAGATGGTGCCACTGCACTCCAGCCTGGGTGACAGAGGGAGAGTCCACCTCAAAACAAAACAAAACAAAAAGAATAGTGAATGCTGGCCAGGTGCGGTGGCTCACGCCTGTAATCCCAGCCCTCTGAGAGGCCAAAGCAGGTGGATCACTTGAGGTCAGGAGTTCGAGATCAGTCTGGCCAGTATGGTGAAATCTTGTCTGTACTAAAAATCCAAAAATTAGCCGAGCGTGGTGGCAAACGCTTCTAATCCCAGCTACTTGGGAGGTTCAGGCAGGAGAATTGCTTGAACTCTGGAGGCAGAGGTTGCAGTGAGCTGAGATCATACCATTGCACTCCAGCCTGGTCTACAGAGCAAGAGTCTATCTCAAAAAAAAAGAAAAGAAAAAGAAAAAATAGGTAAATGCTATTTATCAGGACTAAAGATTCTTTCTATTACAAGAAAAAATTCCAAAGAGAAGCACCGTAGCAAAATATAATACCAAGCCTCCAGAAGTTCAAACTTTTCATCCAGTAAACTGATGGCTAGATAAACATATTTTCCACAATAACCAATATACAACAAAAATAATTAGAAAAACTACATATGCAAAAAAAAAAAAAAAGCTGAAAACTATAACCCATAATCAAAAGACAAAGCAGTCAATAGGAACAGAAATTAAGATGATCAATACATTAGAATTAGTTAAAAAAAAATTATTTTTCTTTTTTTTTTTTTTGGAATGGAGTTGCTCTCTTGTTGCCCAGGCTGGAGTGCAATGGCATGAGCTTGGCTCACCGCAACCTCTGCCTCCCGGGTTCAAGCGATTCTTCTGCCTCAGCATCCTGAGTAGCTGGGATTACAGGCATGCACCAACACGCCCAGCTAATTTTGCATTTTTAGTAGAGACGGGGTTTCACCATGTTGGTCAGGCTGGTCTTGAACTCCCAACCTCAGGTGATCCACCTGCCTTGGCCTCCCAAGTGCTGGGATTAGAGGCATGAGCCACCATGCCCAGCCAAAGATTCTTAAGTTATAAAAATATTTAAGTACTTAAAAGATAAGACTATCATAATAACTGAACAGATGGGGAATTTCAGCAGAAAGGCTAGCACATAGAAAAGAACCCATTTAGTTTCTAGAACTGAAAAGTATAATATCTAAAATAAAACCTTTACTAAATAAGCTTGTCTTCCAGAGCAGTGGTGGCCAATCTGTTTGGCACCAGGGACTGTTTTGTGTAAGACAATTTTTTCACAGATCAGGGTCAGGGTAGGAGAAGGTTTCAGGATGATTCAAGCACATTACATTTATTGTGTACTTTATTTCTATTATTATTTCATTGTACTATATAATGAAATAATTATATAACTCACCATAATGTAGAATCAGTAGAAGCCCTGAGCTTGTTTTCCTGCAACTAGACAGTCTGATCTGGGGGTGATGGGAGGCAGTGACAGATCATCAGGCATTAGATTCTCATAAGGAGCATGCAACCTAGATCCCTCCCATGCACACTCATGATAGGGTTTGGGCACCTATGAAAATCTAATACCACCACTGATCTGACAGGAGGTGGAGCTCAGGCAGTAATGCAAGGAATAGTGATGGTGAGTGGCCATAAATACAGATGAAACGTCATTCACTTTCCTGCCACTCTCCTTCTGCTGTGTGGCCCAGTTCCTAATAGGCCACGAGCCAGTACCAGTCCATAGCCTGAGGGTTGAGGACTCCTGCCCTAGAGCCTCTAGATAGAAACACAGCCTGGCTGACATATTCATTTTAGCCACTAAGACTCATTTCAGACTTCTGTCTTACAGAGCTATAAGGTAATACATTTGTGTTGCTTTAAGCTACTGGTTTTTGGTTACAGGTGGTGTTTGGTTACATGAGTAAGTTCTTTAGTGGTGATTTGTGGGAGTTTGGTGCACCCATCACCTGATAGTTTGTTAAAACTAATGCAGAGGTTATTTATGCTGAAGGAATTAACACTGGATAGAAACTTAGACCTATGGGAAGAAATAAGGGGCACAGAAAATGGTAAATAAGTAAGTAGATATAAATAAGTGTTTTTTATTCCTCTGTTTAATCATTTAAAATACAACAGTAGTTTAATGCAAAATTTACAACATTTTATATGTGGATGTAAAATATATGACAACAACAGTATGTGGTGTGAGGGGTGCAAATGGAACTACACTCTTGCAGGTGCCTTACCTTTATATAATGCAGCACAATATTAACATCTACATAGTCTGAGATAAATCAATGATATATATTGTAAAACCAAAGTAATCAGTAAAAAATACTAAGAAAGGTATAGCTAAAAAAAAAAAGTGTTAGAAGAATTAAAATAAAATCCTAAAAAAAATCCATTTCACGCAAAGAAGACAGGAAAGGAGAAACAAACCAATAATAAAAAAGAAGGCTGGGTATAACGCCTGTAATCCCAGCACTTTGTGGGGCTGAGATGGGGAGATCGTCGAGCCCAGGAGTTTGAGACCAGCCTGGGCAATATAGCAAGACCCTGTCTCTACAGAAAAAATACAAAAATTAGCCAGGTGTGGTGGTGCATGCCTCTAGTTCCAGCTACTTGGGAAGCTAAGGCAGGATGATCACTTGAGCGTGGGGAGGTCGAGGCTGCAGTGAGCTGTGATTATGCCACTGCACTCTGGCCTGGGGGACAGAGTGAGAACCTGTCTTAAATTAAAAAAAAAAAGCCAGGCACGGTGGCTCATACCTGTAATCCCAGCACTTTGGGAGGCCAAGGCGGGCGGATCATGAGGTCAGGAGATTGAGACCATCCTGGCTAACACGGCGAAACCCCGTCTCTACTAAAAATACAAAAAATTAGCCGGGCATGGTGGTGGGTGCCTGTAGTCCCAGCTACTCAGGAGGCTGAGGCAGGAGAATGGTGTGAACCTGGGAGGCAGAGCTTGTAGTGAGCCGAGATCGTGCCACTGCACTCTGGCCTGGGCAACAGAGCGAAACTCCATCTCAAAAAAAAAAAAAAAAAGAAGAAGGAATGAAAAGAAAAGAAATAGCAAAAAAGATTTTTAAGCCAAATATATTGATAATTACCATAAATATAAATGGGCTATGCATTCCAATTAAAAGGCACAGATTGTCAAACTGGTTAAAAAAGAAAGATCCAACTC